>NC_000001.11:236184121-236335636 GCF_000001405.40 Homo sapiens | reverse complement strand
ATTTCACCATGTTGGCTAGGCTGGTCTTGAACTTCTGACCTCAGGTGATCTGCCTGCCTTGGCCTCCCAAAGTGCTGGGATTACAGATGTGAGCCACCATGCCCAGCCAAGCGACCCATTTTAATGCACACATTACAGTCTGTTTTCTCTACCATGGGAGTCATCTAGTTAGAAAAAGTGGTACAAATTTGTCCCCGACTTTAATTATCACCACTTTGGACCTGTCAGGTCAACCTGGACGCATCAGCCAGGTGTCAGAATTGCTCTCGGTTTCTTTCTTGTGGGCCAAGGCAGAGACTGTGCCTCACTAATACGTCCTGCTGCACCTGGGCTAATGCCTCAAGCCACGTGGAGAGGTCAGTACAGAACCTTAGTGATAATGATGGTTTATGAGATTTGTTTAGCTGGGTTGGTCCAGGATCTTGGGGCAAATGGTTGAGGTCAATACTGTAAGTTGGCCTCATCCCGATGCTTGGGTCCTGTGGATACTGGCTTTAAATGCTGTGTCGGATAAAATGAATAGATTTGGTCCCAGCCTCTATTGGTCAGAGCAATCAGAGTGGCTGACAAAGTGACTCACTTATGACGAAATTCACCAGAAGCCAAGAGTGTAGAAATAAGAAGTGGATATTGTTTGGAGACAATTCTCCATCAGTCACTCCATTTCTGCACATTTTGTAAGCAGAGGCACTGAAAGCGTTTGTTCTAGACTACATTGTCAGTGATGTTAATATAGTAAACATTCCTGGACTATAGAGGGAATGTCTCTTTCCAAAGCAGAGGGCAGATTTGTTTACTGCCTAGTGCAATAAAGACCATGTCACCCTCTGGGGAAAGATCAGACAGGCTTACTGTCAAAAAATATTTTTTTTCTTTGAGATGGAGTCTCACTCTGTTGCCTAGGCTGGAGTGCAGTGGCATGATCTCAGCTCACTTCAACCTCCATTTCCCAGGTTCAAGTGATTCTCCTATCTCAACCTCCCAAGTAGCTGGGATTACACGTGTGTGCCACCACGTCCGGCTGATTTTTTTTTTTTTTTTTTTTTGTATTTTTAGTAGAGATAGGGTTTTACCATGTTGGCCAGACTGGTCTCGAATTCTTGACCTCAAGTGATCCACCCACCTCAGCCTCCAAAAGTGCTGGGATTACAGGCATGAGCCACCGCGCTGGCCTGCTGTCAATTTTAAAAGGTTTGGGTTCCCAGTGCTCAGAGTTCCTCATTGTGATGCAGACCTACTGCATGTGCAGCTTCCACCTGAGCTGCTCTCTGTTATCTGGGGAGCCAGGGGAACTGACATGAACAGGAAGCTCATGCTACCTGCTGTGCTATGAGGAATAAAGTTCTTCATTTCTGACTTCAACACCTTGTAATTTCTGTCAGCATCCAAGAAACTATGGCAGGCTAGCTTCTTTGCTAGCAGGTTGGGCAAAGTCTCAGACCCTTCACAGTTCTTGATATAAAGTCAAGTAGGTAGTTGAATTTCCAAAATGGAGTTCACAGGAATGGCCTGGGAATCATATGTCCTGGAACATCCCTAATTTGCAGACAAAGAGCCTGAACCTTAGGCATAAACAGCCTATCCAACGTTATGGCAAGGTTACAGCTGAGCTGAAGCTGGAACCAGGTCTATATTTTTATTGGTTAAGATTGAATGTGAAGTCAGACATTCTGGATTCAAATCTTGGTTCTTCTTTTTGCTACTTCTTGTTCTGTGTCCCTGTTTCACAATTTATGAAATCGAAATAATAGTACCTGCTTTAGGCCGGGCATGGTGGCTTACACCTGTAATCCCAGCAATTTGGGGGACTGAGGCAGGTGGATCACTTGAGGTCAGGTGTTCGAGACCAGCCTGACCAACATAGTGAAACCCGGTCTCTATTAAAAATACAAAACTTAGCCGGGCGTGGTGGCGGGCACCTGTAATCCCAGCTACTCCTGAGGCAGGAGAACCGCTTGAACCTGGGAGGCAGAGGTTGCAATGAGCCGAGATCACGCCACTGCACTCCAGCCTGGGCAACAGAGTGAGACTCCATCTCAAAAAAAAAAAAAAAAATGGTACCTGCTTCAAAGGGTTATTCTGAGTTTCACATGTTTTAGATTTTGTCAGGCATTTATCACAAACTTGGTGTGTGCACATACACGGAAATGCCTGGCACCCAAAAAATGTTCCCTCATATTAGGATAACTTATCAGTGCACTTTGTACCCAATATTGATGGACTCTTTCGTCAAGAGCTCATTAAAACAGAGCTGTCCTAAGAACTGGCACCTGGAGCCCTGTGAGAAACTGGCACCTGGGAGGGTTTATCTTGGCTGTGCCTCCTGATTAGAAGGTGGCAAAACAGGCCTCAGAGAAGCGGCTCACCCCTTCATGATCCAGTCTATCGGGAAATTTCTCAGAGGTATTAAAGCTGAATCTTCCAAAGACCACCAGGGACAAGCCTGTAGCCTGTTCAAATCGAACTTTTTGACTCGATGCAGTGAGAGGGACATTCCATAGGAACCATAGCATCCTGCTCAAAATGAGGGAGGAGAAATGCCCCTTTAGCAAGGTTTAGGATCCCACTGTAGGAGTCTGAGGCAGACCTAAGGGAAGCAGAGATCAGTTCTGGATTGGTTGTGGTGTCTAAAGTGGGGTTCATAGAAGCAGGGATTAATCACGACATGGGTGCTGTCGTAAACCCTTCCCAGTTGGGTATTGCCAGTAATAGACAAGATTCACAAAGCAGGTCTGGGGGCATCATTGGTGAGAAACCAGTAGTCACTCAAAGAGGGGATCCTTGTGATCCTTATGACATTTCAAACTGCAGCATGACCTTGGAGCAGCAGTCCCTACCATTTTTGGCACCAGGGACCAGTTTTGTGGAAGACAATTTTTCCACAGACAGTGTGTAGGGTGGCAGGGGGGATGGTTTCCAGATGAAACTGTTCCGCCTCAGATCATCAGGAATTCGATTCTCATAAGGAGAATCGCATGTACAGTTCACAGTAGGGTCCGTGCTCCTATGAGAATCGAACGTGGCTGCTGATCGGACAGGAGGCGGAGCTCAGGTGGTAATGCGTGCTCACCTCCAGCTGTGCAACCCGGTTCCTAACAGGCCACAGACTGGTACCAGTCTGCAGCCCGGGAGTTTGGGGACCCCTGCCTTAGAGAAATGATGATTCTCGTGACCTTTGCAGCTGGTCTCTCTGCCTGTCCTCTGAGCCTGATTCACAGCAGAGCCACTTTTTCCTTTTTCAGTTCAAACTGATTTCCTCTTTCAGTGCTGACATATTGTGACCCTCTCAGAGTTAGCGTGTTGTCCATCAGAATTTAGGAAGTTTGTTTGCACAATTGTGGAAACTGCCAATGGTCCAGGGTCACTGGTCTCTGAACCCAGCCTCTGTCGGTGTTCACGAGTTAGGGAACTCTAGTCTTGTTCACATCCTGGGCTGCCACCAATGGGTTCATATACATTGGCTTGTTTTTGTTTTTTAAATTTAATTGCTTACGTGTGTTTGTATATATATATGTGTGTGTGTGTGTGTGTGTGTGTGTGTGTGTGTGTATTTTTGTTGTTGTAGAAATGGGTCTCGTCATGTAGCCCAGGCTGGTCTTGAATCCTGGCTTAAAGCAATCCTCCCATCCTGGCCTCTCAAAATGCTGAGATTATGTGTGACCCACCATGCCTGGCCTTATGTGTGTGTTTAAATAGTAGTGACAGTGAGAGCCCTTAATTGGGCTTTCAGTGAAAATGCGGCAGAAGCTGCACCTAGAAGTTGCTAATGAAACTTCTAAGAACTCCTAGTTGGTATGAGGCTAAAGAGTGAAAGAGAGAGAAGTACTTCTGCCTCTATTTTTTGAAAGTCTGGGCCAAGTGCCAGGGCTATGTGTGGTCCCAGGACAGGCTAAATTAGTTAAAGAACTTTGGAGACTCCACGCATAAGCCTCATTTATTTGGGCTGTTCCAGGAGCAAACTTTAGTTTAAAGCCTTGGCTTGGGAAGGAGGAGCAGCAGGCCAGGATACAAAGAGCAGGACCACACCTCAGACCATGTGGCACAAGAGGGCAAGGCTGGGTGCGGTGGCTCAGGCCTGTAATCCCAGCACTTTGGGAGGCCAAGGCAGGCAGATCACTTGAGGCCAGGAGTTCAAGACCAGCCTGGCCAATATGGTGAAACCCCGTCTCTACTAAAAATACAAAATTAGCCAGTGTGGTGGTGCACAGCTATAATCCCAGCTACTCCGGAGGCTGAGGCAAGAGAATCACTTGAACCTGGGAGGCAGAGGCTTCAGTGAGCCGAGATTGCACCACTGAGCTCCAGCCTGGGCAACAGAGCAAGACTCCATCTCAAAAAAAAAAAAAAAAAAAAAGAGGGCATGCTCTCTGGCCAGGCTGGTACCTCCTCAGCTCTTCAGGTGTGGTGGTGCCTTTGGCCTCTATAATGGGGTGTGCAATACCTCAAATCCAGGGAAGAGAAAAGCCTGGCTAACAGAACTTATTTTGGGCTAAGAAGAAAAGCAAGAAGCCGGTCTTTACTTATGACAGTCACATCAGCAAAGCAACTTGGGAATGATGGAACTCGAGGATCTGTCCCTCCTATCTTTTAACTTTTCTTTCATAACTTGCCTCTCGTTGTGTGTTGTATTCTCGAAGAAGTCCTTCGCTTTATATTCTAGTTCACTGATTTGCTCTTGGATTGTGTCTTATCTGCTATTCAGCCCGTCTGTTGAATTTTTTACCTTTAAAAGCTATTTTTCTTATGCAAAACCTTTTCTTATCATCCAGTCCACATTCTGCAGGTGATACTGACTCTTAGCCCTCCAAAAATATTAACTATAGTTATTTTAGAACCCCCTTCTGCTTCGTTAAAGTCTCCTCATGTATAGAGATTACTGTCTCTCAGGACGTTGGTTTTCCTCAAATGTTTGTGATTGTTGATTATTAACAAATCTAAGTTTGAGAGTTCCTAATAACTTGATATCTTACTGTCCACATCATTGTGGGAAAAACTCTTGTCTAAAGGCAGGCCCTCCATGTGCTGCTACCTAGCTCAAAGAAAGACATGAAGCATTCTGGTTGCATTTTCCTCATCTCTATGTTGTGATGAGAGGATGATTTAATATGTCAAAACATTGAATTTTTATAGTCTCTTCATAACTGAGACTTAAACAGACATATATTCTGGGAATGTCAAAGAACATAAAAAATATTAAGCATTAAATTTTTTACAGAAACCACTATTTTGCATAGTGGTTTTTAGTAGTAAATCTTATCATAAAATAAGATTTTTTATGTTGTCAAAGATACAAATAATTAAAAATATATATTTAAAAAAATTAGCTGGGTGTGGTGGCATACGTCTATAGTCCCAGCTACTCAGGAGGCTTAGGTAAGAGGATTGCTTGAGCCCAGGAGGTGGAGGTTGCAATGAGCTGAGATTGCACCACTGTACTCCTGCCTGGGTGACAAAGCAAGACCTTGCCTCGAAAAAAAAATCCATATATATTTAGATAGATAGATAGATAGATAGATAGATAGATAGATAGATAGAGACAGATAGATATAAAGAATTAATTTTTAAAAACTTTTGTTTTAGATATGAGAGTAGGTTGCAGATAATCATATAGCATATTCTTTCTCATTTCCAAACTAATACTTAAAATAGCAACAAAAGGACCACCTCTCATTCTAGCTTCTCTTCAAAGTTTTTGTAATATTGACCCTTAAAAAAACATTCTCTGAAAACTGGCGAAATGCAATTAATAGTTTAAATCCTGTTAGTACCATCAATCCTTGAAATAATGGGTCCACATAAAATTGAATTTTTTTTAAGTTGAGAAAGTTGAGGTCAAATGTCTTTAGTTTATCCAATTTTGAGTTCTCAGCATTCTTCAGGTAAATAACCAAGGGCGCATAGAGTTATCCAAAGCTCAAATGTATTCTTATGGAAAAGTATGATATGAAGGTGTATAAGATTTGAACTAACAGAATTAGAATATTATATTCCTATTTTATATTACTGAACTTTAGATGAATTAATGTTTTTTTTTTTTTTTTTTTGAGACAAAGTCTTGCTCTGTCACCCAGGCTAGAGTGCAGTGGTGTGATCTCGGCTCACTGCAACCTCCACCTCCCAGGTTCAAGTGATTCTACTGCCTCAGCCTTCCGAGTAGCTGAAATTACAGGTGCCCGCCACCACGTCCGGCTAATTTTTGTATTTTTAGTAGAGACAGGGTTTCACCATTTTGGCCAGGCTGGTCTCGAACTCATGACCTTGTGATCTGCCCACCTTGGCCTCCCAAAGTGCTGGGATTACAAGCGTTAGCCACCACGCCCGGCTTGTTTTCTTTTATAATATCCCCAGGATCATAGTGAGCTTATTTAAAAGACAGGCTATGATAGTATCAGATGTCACCAGTTTTTAAAATATAATATTTCCCTTTATAAATATTCCCATTTTCCTCTTTCCTTAAGACAAGAAGAAATTCTTTTTTTTTTTTTTTTCTCTTTTTGAGATGGAGTCTCACTCGGTTGCCCAGGCTGGAGTGCCGTGGTACCATCTCAACTCACTGCAACCTCCACCTTCCAGATTCACGTGATCCTCCCACCTCAGCCTCCCGAGTAGCTGGGATTACAGGCCCATGCCACCATGCATGACTAACTTTTTGTATTTTTAATAGAGACAGGGTTTCATTATGTTGGCCAGGCTGGTCTTGAACTCCTGACCTCAAGTGATCCACCTGCCTTGGCCTCCCAAAGTGCTGGGATTACAGGCGTGAGCCACCGTGCCTGGCCAACAACAGGAAATTCCACAAAACTAGACAAAATATATAGGGCAATAGTTTCAAGGCACTAGGCAAAAGCAACATAGACTGCAATCCTGAGGGAAGGGAAACTCAGACAAAGACTTCTACAGTTGCCCAGCACTCTGTCTAGGAACAATTTCCTGACTGCATTGCAGGAACCTGGAACCCAAGCAGAGCATGGTGGTCCCATGGAGCTGAGGAGGGACTTTAGAGTTTGGGGCTATTGATATGGCTGGATTCTGCAGAGCAGGACACTAGAAAAGAAGGAACTGCATAGTGAACAAAGGCAGAGTTGTGTGTGGGAATTTTCTGAAAATCCTTGCCAGGCAGAAATCTGAATGGGTTTCCTGCAAATCTTTGGCAGAGGGATGGGATTTATATGCACGAAGACAAATCAAGGATTATCTGATAGTGGCTGCTATGGGGTTGAGAGTGGAACAGAGATATTAGAGGTTAAGAGTTGCTGGAAGACCAAGTTCTGGCCCTGTTAGTTAATGACTTTTACAACACCTCGTGCATCAATATAAAACAACAGAAATCCCATACCTTAGGAATAAAGTCCGTGCTCTAGAACACGGGTTGGCGACCTTTTTCTGTAAGAGGCAAGATAATAAATGCTTTAGGCTCGTGGGACTAGAAAATATGATCACTAGATGGCCCAGATGTCAGATTTCATCAAAGATATTAAAACAGCTAGTATAAATGTCCAATGACTTAAAGGAAAATATGATTTTATAAATAAACACATTAGATAAAAAAGTCAGCAGAGAAATTAAAATTATAAAAAAAACAAACAAAAAAGCTAAAGCTAAAAGTGTAACTGAGCTGAGAACAGAGGTTCTGTTTTATAAGGTTGTTTTTTTTTTACTTCCCCCTCCATTCTTCTAATTCTCTCTCTCTTCTAGCCTCATCTGGTGTGGGTAGGATACATGCAAGCACATGGGGGGACACATAGCTAGGATTTAGGTGCCCCTGGATCCTCTGCAGCAAAGGGCTACTTCCTCTTTGGTTGCTCTGTTCTCATTGTGCTGGAGCTCTTCACACCATTAAAATAACTTTAAAAAAAAAATCCCAAGCTGGGCACAGTGGTGCATGCCTGTAGTCCCAGCTACTCAGGAGGACTGAGGCAGGAGCATCCTTTGGGCCCAGCAGCTTAAGGCCAGGCTGGATGAAATAGCAAGACCCATCTCAAAAATTAAAAAACATCCTCTTTAGTGCAATCAATTTTTTAATGTTTTAAGTGTTTAATTACAAATCTGATAATAATAACCTCTTATTAAAAGAATAAAAAAGGAAGCATCTCCCTTTCTCAATTTCTAATACTCAGAAAATGCAATGTTAAACTGACTCAAAATTTAAAATGAACCATACTATAGTTTCCTCCCCTTCAAAGGCTTTTTAACTATGGAGAGGCCTCATGTGTTCTGCCTATTTCTCCTTACGTTAGTGAGCTTCAATCCAGGAAAGGTATCTTCCCCTAAGTGAAAATGTGTTGAAAGTAGTTAACATTATTACTAAAAGCTTTATGTAAATTGCACTAAAATTATTTATTTATTTATTTATTTAATTTATTTATTTTTGAGACGGAGTTTCACTCTTGTTGCCCAGGCTGTAGTGCAATGGCGCGATCTTGGCTGACCACAACCTCCGCCTCCCAGGTTCAAGCTATTCGCCTGCCTCAGCCTCCCGAGTAGCTGGGATTACAGGCATGCGCCACCACACCTGGCTAATTTTTGTATTTTTGTAGAGACAGGGTTTCCCTGTGTTGGTCAGGCTGGTCTTGAACTCCCAACCTCAGGTGATCCACCCGCCTCAGCCTCCCAAAGTGCTGGGATTACAGGCGTGAGCCACTGTGCCTGGCCTTGTGCTAAAATTATTTCACTTAAATATGTCTATAAACTATAGATCTTCATGGAAATGACTTTTGAAAATTACAGATACGCATAGCACTCACATCAAAGTTTTCAATGTAAAGGAAAATATACATGAAAATAAAAGTAATAAGGTAATAATAAATCCTATAATGTTAAATTTGAATTGGGACTAGCAATATGAATTCATGTGCACTGAAAGGATCTAAAAGTAGTGATATCCTTTAGCAATATCAAATAGCAAGCAGATTGGTATTTCTAAATACCATTTTTTACCTATAAAGAAATGGCGGATTCAAGGTCTAGATCAACAAATACTGTATTGCAGATAAGCCTGCAACTTTTGTGCCAGAAAGCAAGGAAGCTGTAAAATACTGTGAACCCAGCTGATTTAAAGGGACTTTCACTGGTGAAAGAATCAAGTTGAGCATCAAAAAGAATAATGACTACAATTCCTGAATTACATTCCATTGTATGTATATACCACATTTTGTTTATCCATTCATCTATTGATGGAGAATTGGGTTGCTTCCACTTTTGTTGTTGTTGTTGTTGTTGTTGTTTTGTTTAGATGGAATCTAGCTCTGTCGCCCGGGCTGGAGTGCAATGGAATGATCTTGGCTCACTGCGACCTCTGCCTCCCGGGTTCAAACGATTCTCCTGCCTCAGCCTCCTGAGTAGCTGGGATTACAGGCACATGCCACCAGGCCCGGCTAATTTTTGTATTTTTAGTAGAGATGGAGTCTTACTATGTTGGCTAGGCTGGTCTCAAACTCCTAACCTCAAGTGATCCGCCTGCCTCAGCCTCCCAAAGTGCTGGTATTACAGGTGTGAGCCACTGCACCCGTCCGGCTTCCACTTTGTGACTATTGTGTATAATGCTCCCATGGGTGGAAAAATATCTGTTTGAATCCCTGCATTCAGTTATTGGGAGGTGTGTTTCACAATGGGCAGGTCTGTACAAACCTACCCCAAAGTCCAAGGAAGCTGAGAGGCTCAAGAGGTGGACAAATCCAGTTTCCTAGGAAGAAACATTTAATAGAGATTTGTGAGAATCTCTATTTGTGAGAATGCCCTGATTTACGGTGAGTAGGTGGTCTTACACAAGGAGCAATAGACAAATTGGAAATCTCAGAGGCCTTCCCAGATTTGGGGTTAATCAGAAGGTAATATGACGTATGAGCATCTAAGATGGAGTTGCTTCAGCCTGCACAGGGTATATATTCAGAAGTGAAATTGCTGAATCATGTGCTGAAATTGCTGAATCATGTGGTAATTCACTTTTTAATTGATTGATTTTCATATGCTGCACCATCCTTGTATTCCAGGAAAAAAATCCCATTTTCTCATGGGGTATAATCCTTTCAGTATGCTGTTGAATTTGGTTTGCTAGTATTTTGTTGAGTGTTTTTTACATTAATATTCATAAGGATTATTGGTCAGTAGTTTTCTTGTATTGTCTTTGTCTGGCTTTGACATTAAGGGTAATGCTAGTCTCACAGAATGAGTTAGGAATGTTCCCTCATCTTCAATTTTTACATTATCCAATTTGTTGGGATAACAGTTGTTGATAGTACTCTCCTATAAATCCTCTTATTTCTGTAAAATCAGTACTTATGTTCCCACTTTCGTTTCTGGTAGTAGTAATTTGAGTCTTGTCTCTTTTCTAAGTGTATCTAAAGAATTATAATTTTGTTCATAATTTCAAAGAATGAACTTTTGGTTTTCTATTTTTTAATTGTTTTTCTATTCTCTATTTTATTTATTGCTGTTCTGATCTTTATTGTTTCCTTCCTTTTGCTAGCTTTGGATTTAGTTTGTTCTTCTTTTTCCAGTTTCTTAAGGTGTAAACTTAGGTTTCTGTTATTTGAGAGTTTTTCTTTTCTTTTTTTTTTGAGATGGAGTCTTGCACTGTTGCCCAGGCTGGAGTGCAATGGCGTGATCTCGGCTCACTGCAAGCTCTGCCTCCTGGGTTCACGCCATTCTCCTGCCTCAGCCTCCCGAGCAGCTGGAACTACAGGCGCCCGCCACCATGCGCAGCTAATTTTTTGTATTTTTAGTAGAGACGGGGTTTCACCGTGTTAGCCAGGATGGTCTGGATCTCCTGACCTCGTGATCCGCCCACCTCAGC
The DNA here is from genome assembly GCF_000001405.40 of Homo sapiens. Classification (NCBI taxonomy): domain Eukaryota; kingdom Metazoa; phylum Chordata; class Mammalia; order Primates; family Hominidae; genus Homo; species Homo sapiens. The sequence continues at coordinate 236,324,844 of NC_000001.11, read as the reverse complement.
CTCCCAAAGCGCTGGGATTACAGGCGCAAGCCACCGCGCCCGGCCGAGTTTTTCTTTTTTAATGGAAGCATTTCCAGCTATATATTTTCCTCTTAGCACTGCTTTCACTGCATTTTATAAGTTTTGATATGCTGTATTTTGATTTTCACTTTCATTAGTCTCAAGATATTTTCTAATTCCTGTTGTGATTTCTTCTTTGACCTTTTGTTGCTTAAGACTGTGTTAATTAATTTCCACCTATTTATAAATTTTCCAGTTTTCCTTCTGCTATTGATTTCTAGTTTAATTCCATTGTGATCAGAAAAGATGCTTTGTATGATTTTATTCTTTTCAAGATATTTAAGACTTGTTTTGTGACCTAATATATTAACCTATACTGGAGAATGTTCTACGTACACTTAAGTAGAATATGCATTCTGCTCTTGTTTGGTGGAATGTTCTATGGATGTCTTTTATTATTATTGTAGAGCTGTCTATTTCTCCCTTTAATTCTATCAATGTTTGCTTCATATATAGGAGATTTGATGTTTATTGCATACATATTTATAATTGTTATGTTTTCTTTGTGAATTGAAGCCTTTATTATTATTCAATATTCTTCTTTGTCTCTTGTGACAGTTTTCTACTTACAGTCTATTTATCTATATTTTTTTAGTATAGCCACCCCTACTCTCTTTTGGTTACTATTTGCATGGAATCTTTTTATCCTTTCATTTTCAATCTATGTGTGCCCTTAAATCTGAAGTGAATCTTCTGTAGACAGCAGATAGCTGGATCCTGTTTTGTTTGTTTGTTTTAAATCCATTTTGCCAATCTATGTCTATTCATGGAGGAGTTTAATCCATTTACATTTAATGTAACTACTGACAGGGAAAGACTTACTTTTGGCATTATATTGTATGTTTTCTGCATATTGTACAAATTTTTGTCCCTGATTTCCTCCATTACTGCTTTTGTTTGTTTTCAGCTGATTTTTTTGCAGTGACACATTTTGATTCCCTTTTCATTTCCATTTGTGTGTATTCATAGATACTTCCTTTGTGGTGACCATGGTGATTACATATAACATCCTGAAGTTATAACAATCTATTTTGAATTAATATCAACTTCAATCACATACAAAAACTCTATTCCATTATAGCTCTGTTGCCACTCCACTTTATGTTGTTGATACTATAAATTACACCTTTATGTGCCCATTAACATAGATTTATGATTACTTTATGCATTTGTCTTCTAAATTCTTTAGAAAATAAAAAGTGGAATTACAAACCAAAATTATAGTAATACTGGTTTTTGCATTCATTTATGTATTTACCTTTACCAGAGATCTTCATATTGTTGAGTTATAGTCAAGTATACTTTCATTTCAAACTGAGAGAATCTCTTTAGCATTTATTGCAGGGCAAGTCTAGTGGTAATGAATTTCCTTAGCTTTTTAAATCTGGGAATTCCTTAATTTTCCTCATATTTTTGAAGGACAGTTTTGTTGAATATAAAATTCTCAGTTGACAGGTTTTTTTTTTCTTTTAATATGTTAAAGATATTAACCCACTGCCTTCTGGCCTGCTAAGAAATATGTGTATAATCTAATTAAAGATCCCTTGTATGTGACAAGTTGCTTTATTCTTGCTGCCCCTTCCCACCTTTTTTTAAGATAGAGTCTTGCTCTGTTGCCCAGGCTGGAATGCAGTAGCATGATCATAGCTCACTGTAGCCTCAAACTCCTGGGCTCATGGGGCTCATGTGATCCTCTCACTTTACCTCCTAAAATAGCTGGGACTACAGGTGCATGCCACCATGCCTGGCTAAATTTTGTGTTTTTTGTAGAGACAGGGTCTCACTGTGTTGCCCAGGCTGGTCTCAAACTCCTGGCTTCAAGTGATCCTCTCACCTCAGCTTCCCAAAGTGCTGAGATTACAGGCATGAGCCACCACACCCAGCCACTCTTCCTGCTTTCAGGATTCTCTCTTTGTCTTTGGTTTTTGACAGTTCTATCATAATGTGTCTCAGTGTGGGTCTATTTGGGTTTGTCCTTCTTAAAGTTCACTAGGCTTCTTGGATTTGTAGATTTATACCTTTCCTCAAATTTGGGGAGTCTTTTGTCCATTACTTTTTCAGATAAACTCTACTCCTTTCTCTGTCTCTTCCACTTCTTAAATTTTCATAATGCCTACGTTGGTCAATGTGGAGGAAAAGCTAAATATCAAATTTGAACTCAACTGAACATGGACACAAACAATGGTCACCAAGTCCTGGAACAGGTTGTGTAAGCCCCTTGAGGCATTCATCCAACACTGTTTCAGAGAAATCTCTACTTTGATCTATTCCTATATATTAGTTATTGAAAAATAACAGACGATTACAAAAACAAGTTGACCTTTTTGTGTTCCTTGAGCCCAGTGTGAAGGGCCCTCTTGACTGGGCCTCATGCCAAACAACTTGTTACAAAAAGAGCTAGGGTCCCAGACTACGTCAAAGCTTCATGAGACCTCTCCTCATCTGTGCACGGACAAGTGGCTGACTCTGGAGCCCAGGCTGTTGCTTCCTGGCCTGGTGGTGAATCCTCCATAGTCTGGTGAGTGCAAAAAAAAAAAAAAAAAAAAAAAAAAAAAAAAAATATATATATATATATATATATATATATATATATACACACACACATATATGTTTTCCCTTCTCTCCTTCCCATTGCAGTTTGCTTATTATATCAATTTGCTTATTATGTCATTTGCTTATTATATCTCCATCGCCATTTATGTGGGATAAAGGTTGTTTGCCCTTAAAGGTATTGTGTGTGTGTCTTTTCTTCTCCCCTCATGCGTTGCAGGCACAGAATAGTCTGCTAGATGGTGTCCCATAAGCTGGATTCTGTTCACTTTTTAAAAATCATTTTTCTTTTTGTTCCTCAGACTCAATACTTTAAAATAACTTGTCTTAATTGTTTGAACCTGGGAGGCAGAGGTTGCAGTGAGCCAAGATTGCACCACTGCACTCCAGCCTGGGCAACAGAGCAAGACTCCATCTAAAAAAATAAATAAATAAATAAAAAATAACCTGTCTTAATGTTCATTGAGTCTTCTACATGCTCAAGTTTGCTGTTGAACCCCTCAGCTGTAGTTTTTAAATAGTTATTGCATTTTTCAATTCCAGAATTTATGTTTGGTTTTTATTTTAATAATTTAAATCTTTTGCTGTAGTGGTTGTTCTCATTTTGTTCATATGTTGTTTTCCTGGTGTCCTTTAGTGTTTCTCCATGTTTTTCCTTAGTTCTTTGAACATATGTAAGATCACGTGTTTACAGCCTTTGTCTAGTAATTCCAATGCCTGTGCTTCTTCAATTACAGCTTCTGTAGATTTATTTTGTTCCTTTGAATGGACTATGTTTTTTTCTGTTTCTTTGTACGCCTTGTGATTTTTTTTTAATCGGGCATTTGCTAAAACAGCCACCTCTCTCAGTCTTTGCAGACTGTACTGTGACAAGGAAGACCTAATTAGCAGTATAATTTCTAAGACTCGTGATCAGCTTGGGAATTCTCAGGTTTCTTTTGGACGTGTACCCTGCCTGGGCGTGTGTGTTTGCATGTTTTTTATTACCCCCATATACATATCTCTTTTTACATGTCTTAATTTCCCAAAGAGTCTTAATTTCCCAAAGAGTCCCACAGCTTCTTCTCAGGGCCTTAGATGTTCTCATGTATTTATCCACAATCTCTTGCCCCAGGCATCTAAAGATCTACAGTCCCCCTATAGCTTTCACATGCTGTGGTGCCTGTCACACTTCTTTCTAGCCTGCACTCTGAACTATTCTGCCTTTTCCCATCTGAAAATTAATACACCTATCTTGATGTCATTCAGTTTGGAAAATTTTAATTTTAGGCAAGGATAGCTGGCAAGGCTTTGAACAGGGTAGAGAGGCTTGAGAGTTCTACACTATGGGAAGACCAAATCAATAGCGACAGCATATGGTGATTCTTAAGCAAATGTTTAACAGAAGGCCAGCTGCCAAAAAGACATTACAGAATGTTCTGCTTAAGAGATCATTTAGAACCAACTGCACACTGAGAAATTCTGTGCTTTGATGTAAATCAAAGATTACTGTCTCACTCTAATTTTGTGATTTTGATCTGCCCATTATTCTTGAATTCTGTAACCATATAACTTGAGATATTCATTTATGGCAGTCATATTCACCACCCATGCTCCTTGATACCTCATCTATTCACCGACATGGCTTTCCTCATGTATAAAAGACAAGAACTCAATAGCCTTTTCACCTCAGCAAAGTTCACTGCTGAGAAAGAGCAGTATATTTCTTTCACCTGGAGTAGAGGGTGGTGGAATGCCTGATTCCAAGAATAATGAGAGCATTATTCCCAAGTGGCATGGGCTGCCACCATTGATTATACCCCAATGACTACTGAACTCTGTCGTTAGAGTCCATACTAGCCACAGAGTGAAGATGGATGGGGAAAAAGGTATGACAGCAATAGCCTTGAAGAACAAAATTCCCCAGAGGGGGCCCTTGTCCTGCTCTACATAATGGAAGCTCCTTGGGAAATATTTGTGACTTGTCTGAGTTAATGTGCAAAGATAAACAAAATATTTTAAACTAATATTTTTAAATTTTAGGTAATTGTCAATTCTCACTTGAAAATCACAATAAATAATATGCATTTCCCAGAATTCATATATACAGATTAGAAGTTATTAAAAAGACTGAATCCTAGATATCAAAGGAGGTATCAAATTCTCAGAAGAAAACACCCTGTAGGTAAAGAGGCCACACTGTATGTGTAATATTAACATACAACATGATTTATATAATCTTGGTCTTTAAAAAAACTTGTCTCCTTGTTTTTATTTTTCTCATCTTGATAAAATGGCCACTATTAAGATTCTTATTAAGTTTTACTGTCAGCTCTGTAATGGGCCTTGGTCTAGAAAAGAGTGAAGATTGAGGCACCAGCACCAGATGAGGCTGTGATATGGAGTCCACTGTCTTTCACCTTGTATCACTAGTTTCCACTTCAGCGATTTTTAATACTATTAACTTTATGACTTCTCCAAGAATTAAAACAGCAGCTAATGTGGATGTTTCCTCTGTGTCAAGGAAGGCTCATGGGTTGTGGATCTAGTAGAACAAGACTAACATCTTCCATTTAGGGAAACTCAGTAAAGCTCACTCTTATCTCTGTCCTTTTTTGCTTCCTTATGGGCATTACTTAATGGCATTGGGTGCCTTCAGGTTTAAAAATAGCTACTGATCCTGTTTCTTATTTCGTAAATTCATAAAGCTATACCTAAATTGGCTGGGCGTGGTGGCTCGCGCCTGTAATCCCAGCACCCTGGGAGGCCGAGGCAGGCGTATCACCTGAGTTCAGGAGTTCGAGACCAGCCTGGCCAACATGGTGAAACCCCGTCTCTACCAAAATATAAAAATTAGCCGGGTGTGGTGGTACATGCCTATAATCGCAGGTACTCCGGAGGCTGAGGCAGTAGAATCACTTGAACCCAGGAGGCAAAGTTTGCAGTAAGCCAAGACTGTGCCACTGCACTCCAGCCTGGGCGACAGAGTGAGACTCTATCTCAAAAGAAAAAAAAAAGCGTACCTAAGTTGATGGGTTCAAGAAGAGACAGGGGTCCAAAAAATATTTCTCATTTGCGTTTCAGTATAATCTAAACGTAGTAGATACTTATTGGGTTGCCTCTTCGTCTTTCTCTACAGCAACCCCTTACCTTTCCCCCTTTCAGAAAACTGTCCATTCATACCTATAGGTTTGCAGAAGGAGCAGCCACAATTGTACCACATGTCCTTGCCTCAGCCCAGTTGCTGTTCTGAGAGTTAACATCTAATCCCTGCTGAGCCAAAGTCCTTTTGCTGAGAATTAGGAATTATTACCAAGGTATCCCCCTCACAGACTAGGCGCTTTTAAAAGGGAGGCTGTAGAAGTCGGGGTACTGGGGTTGTCCATGTCCTGCCATGTAGACTGAGAAGCAGAAAGTTCTGATCTGTAATGACAGACGAGGATAAAACAGATGTTCAGGGAGGAATGGAGGGGTGCGTGTGTGTGTGTGTGTGTGTGTGTGTGTGTGTGTGTGTGTGTGTGTGAGATAGAGAGAGAGAGAGAGAGAGAGAATATCCTGGAGTTTTAGGTTGCCCATTTCCAGTTTGTTTCCGAAACTAGACACCCTCGTAGTCCTCATTGGCCTGAGCCAACTTAAACAACAGAAACATAAGGTACAGACCCTGAAGCCAGACTCAGTGGTATAAATCCCAGGTCCATCATTTACTAGATATGTAACCTTTGGCGAGTTACTCAACTTTTCCAAGAAAAAACAACTCTGAGGGTTGCTAGAAGGATTAAACATTTTCAATATACTTAAGGCACTAAGACCAGTGCCTGGCACACAGAAAATACTGAATCAATGACAGCTACCATGGACCAAGTGGTTCCCTGTTCTCACGGTGGCTAGAGGACAGTATGAGGGGCTATTCAGACCATTTCCTCTCCCCATAATAATTGCCCCACACACAGGAACCTAGCAGTCCTTGGTCAGAATTCCAGGTGAGCGCTACTTGAATCAGAACCAGCAGTGCTAGAAATATCTTGAAAACAGGCCGGGCGCGGTGGCTCACGCCTGTGATCCCAACACTTTGGGAGGCCGAGGTGGATGGATCACCTAAGGTCAGGAGTTCCAGACCAGCCTGACCAAGATGGTGAAACCCCATCTTTACTAAAAATACAAAAAATTAGCCTGGTATGGTGGCGGGCACCTGTAATCCTAGCTACTTCGGAGGCTGAGGCAGGAGAATCACTTTAACCTGGGAGGTGGAGGTTGCAGTGAGCTGAGATCGCACCACTGCACTCCAGCCTGGGCAATAAGAGCGAAACTCTGTCTCAAAACAACAACAACAAAAAAGAAATATCTTGAAAACAACTTCTCTCTACTCTCTCATCCTATGCTCACTTTCCAGGAGGCTATTTCTGTCACCAAGCATTATAGAGCATTCCTATTTAATGAGTATAACCTGTATTTTATGATGATACTTTGTTTTTCACACAATTTTATTAAAGAACTAAAAAGTTCATTTTAAAACTCCATAATTTAAATATGTTAAATAAGTTAGATAATAAAACTAGAAATCATCCACTGACTGGCCAGGTGCAGTGGCTCATGCCTGTAATGCCAGCACTTTGGGAGATGTCAAAGTGGGAGGATTGCTTGAGCCCAGGAATTCGAGACCAACCTGGGCAACACAGAAAGACCCTGTCTCTACTAAAATAAAATTAAAAATTTCATTTTAAAAAAGGACTCATCCACTGACTATGCTGGCTAGCTGATGTTTGGTAAGAACCTAAAAGGAAAGGAGATTCCATACATGGCTGATGGGAGATACAATTGTCCCAGCTATGTGGTTTGCTGTGACAGTCACTTACATTAGCAATATCAAGAAATGAGAAAGCTGGGCCGGGCGCGGTGGCTCATGCCTGTAATCCCAGCACTTTGGGAGGCTGAGGCGGGTGGATCACTTGAAGTCAGGAGTTCAAGACCAGCCTGGCCAACATGGTGAAACCCCGTCTCTACTAAAAATACAAAAGTTAGCGAGGCATGGTGGGTGGCACACACCTGTAATCACAGCTACTTGGGAGGCTGAGGCAGGAGAATCGCTGGAACCCAGGAGGCAGAGGTTGCAGTGAGCCAAGATTGCACCATTGCACTCTAGCCTGGGTGACACAGATGGACTCTGTCAAAAAAAAAAAAAAGAAAGAAAGAAACAAAAGAAAAAGAAAATAAATAAGAAACCCTATTAAGGACTAAGTTGGACAGTTTTATTTGAATTTTTTGTTTTATAGAGGCAGAGTCTCGCTCTGTAGTCCAGGCTGAAGTGCACCACTACACTCAACTAGTGAAAAAAAATTTTTTTTAAGAGACAGAGTCTCACTATGTTTCCCAGTCTGGACTTGAACTCCTGGCTTCAAGTAATCCTCCTGTTTCGGCCTCCCAAAGTGCTGGGATTACAGGTGTGAGCCACTGCACCTGGCCCAAATTGGATTATTTTAAAGACTTGCAAAACATGTATATCTGCTTACCTTTCCTCCAAACAAAAACAAGGGATTAGTGTATACCATTCAAAATGCCAGCTACTAGCTGGGTACCATGGCATTCACCTGTAGTCCCAGCTACTTGGGAAGTTGAGGTGAAAGGATCGCTTGAGCCCAGGAGTTTGAGGCCAGCCTGGGCAACGCAGTGAGATCCCATCTCTAAAACCAACAACAACAAAAATACAAGCTACCATCTTCTTAAGGAGAAGGCAAAAATACTTGAAGAGTATATGCTGGTTCTATTCCATTTCTTTATGATTCCTGTTTTATTATTATTTTTTTTAATTTTTCAAGACAGGGTCTCATTCTATCACCCAGGCTAGAGTGCAGTGGCACAATCAAAGCTCACCGCAGCCTTGACCACCCAGGCTCAGGTGATTCTCCTGTAACCACCCAACAGGTTCTCCTTGCCCGCTGCCCTAGACAGAGCTGATTTATCAAGACAGGGGATTGCAATAGGGAAAGAGTTTAATTCACACAGAGCTAGATGTACGGGAGACAGGAGTCTTATTATTACTCTAATCAGTCTCCCCCAAAACTCAGGAACTGGGGTTTTTGAGGATAATTTGGTGGGTAGGGGTTTGGAATGTGGGGAGTGCTAGCTAATTGGTCAGGTCAGTGATGCAATCCTAGGGAATCAAAGCCGCCCCTTGTACTGAGTCAGTTTCTGGGTGGGGGCCACAAGACGAGAGGAGCCACTTTATTGATCTGGGTGGTGCCAGCTGAGCCGTCAAGTACAGGGTCTTGACAAAATATCTCAAGCACTGCTCTTAGGTTTTACAACAGTGATGTTATCCTCAGTAACAATCTGGGGAAGTTCAGAATCTTGCAGCCTCCAGCTGCATGACTCCCAGACCATAATGTCTAATCTCGTGGCTGATTTGTTAGTCCTACAGAGGTAGTCTAGTCCCCAGGCAGGAAGAGGGTTTGTTTTGGGAAAGGGCTGTGATCATCTTTGTTTCAAAGTTAAACTATAAAACTAAGTTCCTCCCAAAGTTAGTTCAGCCTCACCCCAGGAATGAGCAAGGGCAGCTTTGAGGTTAGAAGCAAGATGGAGTCGGTTAGGTCAGATCTCTTTCACTGTCATAATTTTCTCAGTTACAATTTTTGCAAAGGCAATTTCAATCCCATCTCAGCTTCTCTAGTAGCTGGGACCACAGGCATGTGCCACCACACCTGACTAATTTTTGTATTTCTTGTAGAGATGGGATTTCTGAGCTCAAGCAATCCTCCCGCCTCGGCCTCCCGAAGTGCTGGGATTACAGGCGTGAGCCACTGCGCCCTGCGATTTGCAGTTAGAAGTTAGTGTGTGAAGAAATGGTGCAGAATTATGGCATGACTTTTACCCATGTTTTGAATATTAGAGCCTCCTAAACATGTCTAGCACATTAAACTGTAGTCTAGTACAATATGTTAGTCATTTTATTTATTTATTTATTTATTTATTTATTTATTTATTTATTTACTATAGAAGGAGTTTCATTCTTGTCACCCAGGCTGGAGTGCAACGGCACAATTACGGCTCACTGCAACCTCCGCCTCCCAGGTTCAAGCGATTCTCTTGCTTCAGCCTCCCAAGTAGCGGGGCTTACAGTTGTGCGTCACCATGCCTGGCTCATTTTTGTTTTGGTTTTTTTTCAGTAGAGACAGGTTTTCACCAGGTTGGCCAGGCTGGTCTCACCTGACCTCAGGTGATCCACCTGGCTCAGCCTCCCAAAGTGCTGGGATCACAGGAGTGAGCCACCGCGCCCAGCCATGTCGGTTGTTATAAAAAGGTCTTTCTCTTGCCAGGTGCTGCAGCTCACACCTGTGATCTCAGCATTTTGAGAGGCTGAGGTGAGAGGATCCCTTGAGCCTAGGAGTCTGAGACCAGCCTGGGAAACATAAGGAGATCCCATCTCTTCAAAAATAAAATTTAAAAATTAGCCAGGTGTGTGCCTGTGATCCCAGCTACTTGGTAGGTTCAGGTGGGAGTGTGCAGGAGAGGGATCTCGATCCAGACCCAAAGAGAGGGTTCTTGGATCTCGAGCAAGAAAGAATTCAGGGCAAGTCCACAGAGTAAAGCAAAAGCAAGTTTATTGAGAAAGTAAAGGAATAAGAGAATGGCTATTCCATAAACAGAGCAGCCCCCGAGGGCAGCTGGTTGCCCATTTTTATGGTTATTTCTTGATGACATGCTAAACAAGGGGTGCATTATTCATGCCTCCCCTTTCTAGACCATATAGGGTAACTTCCTGACATTGCCAAGGCATCCATAAACTGTCATGGAGCTGGTGGGAGTGTAGCAGTGAGGATGACCAGAGGTCACTCTCGTGGCCATCTTAGTTTTGGTGGGTTTTAGCCGGCTTCTGTACTGCAAACTGTTTTATCAGCAAGGTCTTTATGACCTGTATCTTGTGCCAGCCTCCTATCTCATCCTGCAAGTTAGACTACCTTAACCATCTGGGAATGCAGCCCAGTAGGTTTCAGCCTCATTTTACCCAGCCCCATTCAAGATGGAGTTGCTCTGGTTCACATGCCTCTGACAGGAGGATCCCTCGAGTCTGGGAGGTCGAGGATGCAGTGAGCTGTAATCGAGTACTCTAGCCTGGGTGACAGAACAAGACCTTGTCTTGAAAAATAAAAATAAAATAATCAAAAGGTATTTTTCCAGACAACATTTCTCATTCCACAAACTCAGAGCCTTTAATGATTTTGAGTTATTCCATGTTTTTTTTTTTAATGTCATACAGTAAAGTGAAGAAAGTTTTAGACTCAAGAAATATTTCAGGGGAAAAGGATTTCTTTAACTTTGGTAACTTTTTGTTCCTTTCATTTTTCAAAAGAAAGAGGAGTGTCCTCAGAAAAGGCCAGAAAATCTAAGGTCAAACAAAAATTCACTCATATAAATCCAAGAAATGAATCACTATTCTCCCCAGGACACCATTACAGTATTTGTAAACACCAATATCCAGCTGCTTTATTAATAGAAGTTCGCTTGGCTATTAAAATGCAAATTATGTTATTACATTTTTATGCTAACACCTTTACATTGAAATAGAACTGTTCCCCAGTGGTTTCCTCATTCAGTAAAGTGACAAGTCAACCAAAACACAGTCATGGTAGAATGGTAATACATTTGCTAGTGTCATGGAAATGCAAACCCTTAGTGCAATTTAATTCACACACTCTCTTATGCATTATAGTAATCTTACTAGCTGCTCTGAAAGCTTTGTTACCAAAATATATTGTCAGTCATTTAAAATAGTGCTTCAGCGAAAACCTGGAGCTGATGGGATCCCATGCACTGGTACCACACATGGGATAAGCATTAAGATGTTTTGATGCTGATGACCTTTTTGGAAGAAGCTATAATGTCCTCCTTTTTTTTTTTTTTTTTTTTGGTGAGATGGAGTCTGGCTCTGTCACCCAGGCTGGAGTACAGTGGCATGGTCTTGGCTTACTGCAACCTCCGTCTCCCGGGTTCAAGTGATTCTCCTGCCTCAGCCTCCCAAGTAGCTGGGATTACAGGCGTGTGCCACCATGCCCAGTTTATTTTTGTATTTTTAGTAGAGAAGGGTTTCACCATGTTGGCCAGGCTGGTCTCGAACACCTGACCTCAGGTGACCACCTGCCTCGGCCTCCCAAAGTGCTAGGATTATGAGTGTAAGCCACTAAGCCTAGCCTATAATATCCTTTCTTAGTGAAAGATCACTTTCCATCTTGCTGCCTTTTCCAGAAATGCCATATTTAAGTCATTTAAAAGAAATATTCAAGATATTGGAGAAACAAGAATCATATTTTACTTAGAAATATGTCTGTTAAAATCATAAAATGTATTTTTCCTAAACAGGCATGAGAAAGATTGTAAAGACAAAGTGTCTTAGTGCTTTCTGCCTAGAAAATGGATTTGTGCTACATATATACTGGTGAAGTTATAGCAGAATGTTATAAGGCCATAGGTGGTGAACTAATCATAGAGATGGTGTTCCGTTGTTCTTGCGTATCCATGGGGAATCGGTTCCAGTACCCTCCATGGATATCAAAATCCACAGATGCTCAAGTCCCTTATATAAAACAGTATAGTATTTGCATATAACCTATGCATATCTACCCATATACTTTAAATCATCTCTAGATTACTTATAGTACCTAATCAATGTAAATGCTATGTAAATAGCTGTTATTCTGTATTGTTTAGGGAATAATGATAAGAAAAAAAAGTCTGTAAATGGTCAGTACAACACAGCCATCCTTGTTTCCCCGCCTCCCGCCACCCAAAATTACGGGTTTTTTTGAGACAGGGTCTCACTCCGTCACCCAAGTTGGAGTGCAGTGGCACTAACAAGGCTTACTGCAGTCTCGACTTCCCATGCTCAGACAATCCTCCCATCTCAGCCTCCCAAGTAGCCAAAACTACAGGTGCACACCACCATGCCCGGCTAATATTTTAAATTTTTGTAGAATCAAGGTCTTGTTATATTGCCCAAGTTGGTCTCGAACTCCTGGGTTCAAGTGATCCTCCCACCTCGACCTCCCAAAGTGCTAGGATTACAGGCATGAGCCACCACAACGCAGCCTCCAAATATCATGGGTGGTTCAATCAGCAGATGCTTCATATGGAGGGCCAATTGCATACATTAAAACTTAGGTGGGCAAGCTAAATTTTTACAATAAATGAGTTAAAAAGTTGCATTTCCTTATAATAAACATATAATAAATACAGTATCCTACAACAAACTTGCAACCTCAGACTCAAAGTTAAGGGTTAAATTCCATAGGAGTGGGCAAAAAAATTTTGCACTTAAAAATTGATTATTACAAGAGGATGTTTTGCCCTTCATTAAAAAAAATTAGCCAGAAACGTAACTTTATGATACTAAAAATCAGAATAAGTTCAGAACTTTACCCCACTTGGCTAATGCTCTTTTCTCCTTGTGTCGTTATGGTGACTGACAAGTAAATATTTTTCAGCCTTCTCCCTCTTCTCTGTCCGAGGGTAACAAGTTCAGAGTTTCCTTCTCAAAAGTCTTTGCATCATGGGTAATCTTACCATCTCAAAGAAATACTATCCTGATTTTTCTCTCCCTATGGCTTCACTTTTAATAAGAGCTAAGTCAAAGTCTAGGGTTTATAATTTTCTCTTTGCACAAAGGGCACCAATTTTAGAAGGGTCATCTGAGATATCCTTTGACATCAAATGGAACATTGAAAAACTATCAATGATTCAAGCAACTAATGTGTACTGGCAACTGTGGGGAGGTGCTGTGAGAAATAGAGAGCTATTGCATGGATGAGGAATTCTCTCCTCAAGGATGTTACATTCTGGATAGGTTATGATACAAACACACATAAAAGACAACTCATAATACACAGCAGCTAATGGTGAATGGTAAATAGATTGTGATGGACTACAGTTGCCAACGAACTTCAAAGAAGAGAGAGATTGCTTTAGCCTGTGGCCATGAGGTTGGCTGCACTGCAGGGTAAAGATAAGAAACCCCTTGGGATGGTGTAGAGCAGTGGTACTTACAACTGGGCAGTGTCCACAGCCAGTTTTGACTGTCACAACCGGCAGGGGGCTACAGTCTTCTACTGGGTAGAGGTCAGAGGTACTACGAAACACTATGATGCCCCAAAATGACCACAGTGCCAAGGTAGAGAATCCCTGATGCAGGGGAAGGAATGCCAAGACTTGGACGGTAGAAATACTGGCTCTGAGCCACATGTATGTCAAACTCTTCCATGTCCCCTCACTACGTCCCAAGAAGGCCAAAAAGATTATTTAGACTCCATTGCAAAGGAAGTTTTAAAATAAGGAAGCAAGACCACCTGAGGTCTAAATGTTAGTCTCCTTTTTCCCTTTGCCAACCCAGTGTGTTCATAAATATATCATCCTTTTTTTTTTTTTTTTTTTTTTAAGACTGAGTCTAGCTCTGTTGCCCGGGCTGGAGTGCAGTGGCACGATCTCGGCTCACCGCAATCTCCACCTCTCGGGTGCAAGTGATTCTCCTGCCTCAGCCTCCTGAGTAGCTGGGACTACAGGTGGCCACCATGCCCAGCTAATTTTTATATTTTTAGTAGAGACAGGGTTTTGCCATGTTGGCCCTGCTGGTCTCAAACTCCTGACCTCGGGTGACCCGCCCGCCTCGGCCTCCTAAAGTGCTGGGATTACAGGCATGAGCCACTGCGCCTGGCCGTGAATATATCATTCTTAGTGGCAAGGCTTCAAGTTATGTGAAAGCTCATTAATATGGACTTTCCATCATCAAAGCTTTCACTGCTGAGTGCCTAATTTTTCTATTTTTTCTGGCCACCATAATTCACACTGGACACCTACTCTGGCACCCTGTCTCAAGGTGACCAGCCAGCTACCAGGTGGTATTCCAGTGACCTTGGACTCCTTTCTTCTTGGAAAGGGCAGCAATTTTTCCTTCCCCAGGACATACCCATTCTGCATTTGGATTTGCCTTCTCTGTCTGCCTCGACTCTGTCAACATCATTATCTATGAGTTCTCTCCTGCAATTGGCAATGATCAAGAATGAAGCAGTGGGTCAATAAGTTATTTGGGGCTGTAAAACGCGGCGGAACACATTAGTAAGAATAATCAAAAGACTTTTAAAGATCCCAAACCTAATCAAACTTGTTCTCTGACAGCCAAAACTTGGTTACCTATGGAAAGAGAAATACTATGAAATTGCAAGAGATCTGTTACATTGCTTACACTGGTGTTTGATTAGCAGTCGAAATATCATATAACAAAGAAATTTATTTCTTTTTAGTAATTTAGAAAAACAGAATTCTGCTTTGAGCAGTGTGCTTTTACAATAAATTAGGGCCGGGTGCAGTGGCTCATGCCTGTAATCCCAGCACTTCGGGAGGCCAAGGTGGGCAGATCATCTGAGGTCGGGAGTTCGAGACCAGCCTGGCCAACATGGTGAAACCCAGTCTCTACTAAAAATACAAAAATTGGCCAGGCGCGGTGGCTCACACCTATAATCCCAGCACTTTGGGAGGCCGAGGCGGGTGGATCACGAGGTCAGGAGATGGAGAACATCCTGGCCAACATGGTGAAACCCCGTCTCTACTGAAAATACAAAAATTAGCTGGGTGTGGTGGTGGGCACCTGTAATCCCAGCTACTCAGGAGGTTGAGGCAGGAGAATCACTTGAACCTGGGAGGCGGAGGTTGCAGTGAGCCGAGATCGTGCCACTGCACTCCAGCCTAGGAAATAGAGCGAGACTGTGTCTCAAAAAAAAAAAGAAGAAGATTAAAATAAATTAGAAGTGATTTGGTTAAACATAGGAATAAGGATCTAGTAACCCTGGTTAAACATTTAAGCAATGTAGCAGAGAAGACTGCAGACTCCCGTCCCTCCAGGTCACAAGATGGCTGCTAGCAGCTTCTAGAACAAGACACTTCTTCACTTACCTCTCTCCTAGCCGTAAAATGAAAGCCCTTCCCATATGACCCACTGGACCAACTTTGATCAGTTATCCTACGTCTGAACCAATAATATTGCCAGAGGCTGTCATGAGGACAACGTGGAGTTGGGATTTCTTTTAAAAAAGTAAAATTAGATGTGACCAAGATTGCAATCCAGGTAGATTTGCAGACATGGTATCATGAATTGAAATGATACCAAGATAAGAGAGGGTGCAGATTTTGTTGGCAGCATTGTGTGTCACCAACAGCTGTGATTTCAGAGGCTGCCAAAGCCTACTGATGTTGAATGGCAGAGAACTTTGGGTGCCCTATAAAATATCGTAAGTAGATGGCTGCCTTCCTAGGGAATTGTAGTTAAAATATTTTATGAAAATTAAAAGTAAACAAAACTATGAGTTGTCCTATAAATATTTAAAAAGACATAAAGTTTGGGCACGGTGGCTCACGCCTGTAATCTCAACACTTTGGGAGGCTGAGGCAGGCGGATTACCTGAGGTCAGGAGTTCGAGACCAGCCTGGCCAACATGGTGAAACTCTGTCTCTACTAAAAATACAAAAACTAGCCCGGTGTGGTGGCACACACCTGTAATTCCAGCTACTCTAGAGGCTGAGGCAGGAGAATTGCTTGAGCCCGGGAGACGGAGGTTGCAGTGAGCCGAGATGATGCTGCTGCACTCCAGCCTGGCTGACAGAGCGAGACTCCATTTCAAAAAATAAATAAATAAATGAAAATAAAAATAAAAAGACATAAAGTAATTTTAATTGTGTCATAAATAAAGTTCAACAAGAACTAGGCTTGCAAATATAAGACTTGAAACTACTGTGTACACTCCTTGTTCTTTCTGGATAGCACATCTATTGTCAGCAATGTTTTCTCATTTCTAGTTGAGAAATGATAAAATGTGATGCTTTTTATACTGTACAGTACCGGCTCTAAAAGATGATAAATATAACATAAATCTATAATTACTGATTACTTATGGGAGAGGTGATATTCTCAATTATGGCTTTGATGATACTGCTCTCTTGGTTCGTATCCACTTAAATCTGAACGGACTTTCATTATATATGGGACTATAGCTCTACATTTTCCAGAGGTCTTGATTAAATATGGTTTAACTATTGTCAAAAATAATGAGTTGTGTAGTAGATCTATTACAAAAGGTTCCATAGTAAGATACTATCTTAGAAAGTATCAAATTAGGAAAAAAAACTAAGACCACAATTGGAGACTGAAAAGTTTTTCATGAAGAATTATCATCAAGAAAATTCTCTCTATGAAGGATTTTGTTTTATTCACTTATGTACATATTATTTTAGGAGTTTTTAAGAAACAATCCCTTACTAAGTTAGCAATAAGTAGATCATCAATACAGATTTCTTTAGACATGACATTTGGATTATATTATCCATATAATTCTGGATCTCGACTTATCCATTTCTCAAAATGAGTCACTTCTCAAAAGTGACTACTGGTAAAATAAAAACTCTAAGAAGAAACTATAGCCTTAAAATGTCTCTAATATGTGTCCTGAAGATGATTTATTATCAAGCAAATCCTGCTGAAAGGCCATTTATAACGTGGGTCTTCTGGACAACTGAAATCCTATTAATCCTATTCCCTTAACGGCCTCCAGGGAGATGTTTGCATTTTAGCAAGGCTACGTTTCCGGGTTTTTTAAAACCTGGAAAGAGTCTGTAATTGAGTTAATGAAGCGGACAGACTTCAACCAGCAAAGTGCTAGGCATTTGGTGAAAAGGGCTGATGTCAGGGAAAGGCCCCAAGAGGCAGGAGTCGTGGTGGCCATTTCAGTTGCTATTAGGAGGCAGGAGGTATGGACATTAGTGAAATGGGACATTAGTGAAAAGGACATTCGTGAGGGGGCTATGGGGAAGTGCGGTACATGCCCATTCCAGTAGCAGCAGTGTCTGCTAAGCTCCAGATGATGATTGACACGTCGGACTGTTGTCAGATATTCTGATTTTTCTTTTTTTAAAAAAATCTTTCCATTTTTATTTATTTATTTATAGACACAGGGTCTCACTGTGTTGCCCAGGCTGGTCTCAAGCTTCTGGCCTCAAGCAATCCTCCCGCCTTGGCCTCCCAACATGTTGGAAATACAAGCTAGAGCCACTGTGCCTGGCTCCTTCAGATTTTTCAATGGGCCAGCAGCTTGAATATAAATGTGAACTGCCCTTCTTGTTAAATGTTAATAACTAATTCAATTTAAGCAAAATCTGTACGTCAACACTTTGCAAGCCAAACAGGATGGTTTTGCGTCATATGGTGCCACGAATTTCAGACCACCAGTTTGAAACCCTAAGGATAGGACATTTCCCAAAGGAAGTTGAAGAATCTTGAAGACAAAAGTTGCCCTCTTCTGGCCCAGCATGGTGGCTTATGCCTGTAATCCCAGCACTTTGGGAGGCCAAGGTGGGTGGATCACCTGAGGTCAGGAGTTTGAGATCAGCCTGGCCAACATGTCAAACCTCGTCTCTACTAAAAATACAAAAATTAGCCAGGTGTGGTGGTGGGTGCCTGTAATCTCAGCTACTCAGGAGGCTGAGGCAGGAGAATCACTTGAACCCAGGAGGTGGAGGTTGTAGTGAGCTGAGATGGTGCCACTGCACTCCAGCCTGGGTGACAGAGCGAGACTTCGTCTCAAAAAAAAAAAAAAAATACCAGTTGCCCTCTTCTCAGCCTAACCTAGAGCTAATGACACAAGGAATTCTCACCTTTATTCTTGGTGAACTATCCCTGATCAAGCTTTGCCTGAGAAACGTTTCTATGAGCTAGGCCTGAAGATGAAGTTCAAAGCCAATATTCAGCTCTGTCAACATTTTCAGAACAAGCAGAGGCCCTGTCCTTGCCCAGAAGTCACAAGTCAATCTTCTGAGTTAATAAAATCATGGGAAATCCTGCTGCTACTTCTTCCAGGGATTTAAGAGCATAAAAGTTGTGAGATACTTACCTTACTCAGCTCTCCTTCCATATATTGTATATATAGTACAGTACTTGATTCCTTCAATGACAGATTGCTAGGAGCCTGGAATATGAATGTCAGGATTGGGAGTTGGGAGTTGGTACTATATACACTACTAAGTCAGTTACGGTTCTGCTATGTTTAAGAACATGACCCCTGGAGCCAACTGCCTGGCTCAGATTCTGTCTCCACCGCTTAGTAACTGAGCTTAGGCAAGTTGCATAACCCGTCTGTAAAATTGGGGATAATAAAATATCTACCTCGGTGGTTGTTCTGAGGATTGAACAAGTTAATACTTAGAACAGGGCACCATATAGTTGTTTGTTATTATGGGGAAAATATTACTTTGAAGAGCTGAGGAAACTAGCGCTCAGAGAAGCTAATTGGCTTATCTAAAGTCACACTAACTAAAAAAAAAAAAAGAGTAGGTGCTGACATTTGAACTCCAGTTTGTCTACTTCGAAACATAGTATTATAGTATTCTGGTCCTTTCACTCCACCACAAATGTTCTTATATGATGTTGGGTTTATCTGATTGTTCTATGTTAGGCTTGTCTGATTGTTCAATATACCTTTTTTTTGTTTTCTTTTGAGATGGAATCACGCTCTGTCGCCCAGGCTGGAATGCAATGGCACGATCTCTGCTCACTGCAATGTCCACCTCCCGGGCTCAAGCAATTCTCCTGCCTCAGCCTCCTGAGTAGCTGGCACTACAGGCACCTACCACCAAGCCTGACTAATTTTTGTGTTTTTAGTAGAGATGGGGTTTCACCATGTTGGCCAGGATGGTTTCGAACTCCTGGCCTCATATGATCCACCTGTCTTGGCCTCCCAAAGTGCTGGGATTACAAGAGTGAGCCACTGCACCAGCCTGTTCAATGTAACTTATAAGTTCAATATAAGTTTATATATAACCATGTTTTGCTGCAAATCCTGGTTGCATCTGAATCCAGTATATTATAGAAATCAATGGAGGTAATTTTAGGTCAATAGCCTTCTAAATGATCAAGACTGATTCTCTAAAGAGGAAAGCAGGTTCAAGTCAATAGATGAACGTTAATAAGGCAAAGCTGGTATAGGTCCTATAACCCAGAGGGCGGGGGTAAAAGAGTCTCTCCAGAGACAGTGGATTCCAAATATTAATTAAAAGTTTTGTTCTTTTAGTGGAGAAAATGAAAAGCTTTTCACTTGGTGCTTGTTTGGGGATGCGGTAGAATAAATTTGAGACTGGGTAATAAACCGTCAGTAAAGCCTAGAAATTGAAAGAGGACTCCTGAGCTGAATGGCCTTGCAAAATTAATGTACAGCAAAAAGTTCACCCAAAAACACTTACAGCAGTTCGACATCTCTCTATCAGCGAAGGCCTTCTAAACAGCAGGTGCTCAGTAATAGTCATAAAACCTCAGCTAAAAGCAGCTTAATGTGATAATTTATTTACAGATAAGGAAACCAAGGCCGTGACAGATGACTGACTTGCACAATGTCACCCAGTGAGTTAGCAACAGAATGAAAACTAGACTCCAAGCCCATATACATCAGTGGATGGGCCCAGGTCCCTGGAATCGAATTCTATGGAGCCATATCCTACATTGCCTGTTGTTGCCTGTTAGTTTAGGGTATTGTGAACTATTTCTGAGCTTCAGTTTCCTCATGTCTAAAATAAAAGGGAGAGCAGCCCTTGCTTCATCACACTGTTGTTCTGAGGATGTGATCCATGAAAAGCCTTCGCCATAAAGCCTGGCACAGAGGAAACGCTCAGACGTTAGCTCTTACTGAGATTGACAGCCCGCACAGTGCACCTTCAACTGCACAACTGCATTTAATAAATAAAGGAGGAAAGTGGAATAAAAGGATCATTTTATTGGGTTGATACAGAAAGGTACTTCTCCCCCAAATCAGTTCAAAGCAGTAAAAGCTGTGGACAACCTGCACTTGCTGGGTTTAACCAGGCCTGGGACTAGGCTTCTCACGAAGCAGGTTCACTCAGGCCTCTGGAGTCCATTAATAACAGGTGGTAACTAGCGTTTCAGTGGGGCAGTCAGACTCTGTGGACAGGTAAATCTGGGCACGTTTAGGTGAGTAGGCTGTGACTGCTTTCGCAGGCTGAGGGGAGAGTCACATTCG
The DNA here is from genome assembly GCF_000001405.40 of Homo sapiens. Classification (NCBI taxonomy): domain Eukaryota; kingdom Metazoa; phylum Chordata; class Mammalia; order Primates; family Hominidae; genus Homo; species Homo sapiens. The sequence goes on along the minus strand of NC_000001.11, from coordinate 236,304,202 downwards.
GCCTGCCTCTCCCTCTTGCTTTGCTTTAAAGGCTGCTTGATTCTCACCCTTTTTGAGCCCCAAGGTCATGGGCTACCCTGGAGGCTAAGCTCCTGCCCCTGCTTACTACCCAGGGCTGCTTCCTCTGGTTGCTACATTGCATACTCCACTGGGTGACCTGGAGACCCAAGACAAGACTCCAAACACCACAGTGCAAGACAAGCCACTGCAGGGCCCTGGCCCAGGGCAAAGAAGCAGGTTTGGGCATGAAGGAGGAAGTGAGGGCATTGAGCTTTGGGGCCTTCACCGAGGGCTACTAGCAGTTGGAGGGGGATTTTTCATGTGCTTTGGAGTAATCGACTAATTCTTGTCTTTCATTTTCTGAGACCTGTGCTCTAGATGGGGACAGCCTGAGCCGTGCAGATGTCCACATCTTACTGGAGACTGCAGGGGGTGCTGAGGGGCTGCTGTTGGGTCTGGGCTTCTTAGAGCGCTCCTTGGAGGCACATGTGTTGGCCAAGGCACAAGCCCAGGCTCCAGTCCAGGCACCCAGCAGGGCCAGTGCTGCTGGCTGGAACCTATTGCTGGGTATAAGTTGGGATGGGGGTGGGACTGAATTAGGCCCCTTAACGTAATTTCTCTGGGGGAGAAGTTGATGAGGCAGGAGGACAATGAAGTCAATGAAATGCATGAGCCCCAGTATTAGAACTTTTAGTTGTATCCACTTTGCCTCTTAACTTTGGGGTGAAATTCTTCAGCTGCTATTCTCATTCTTCTATGTAAAACTTCTTCTTCCTTCTCCTTCTCCTTATCCTTCTTCTTCTCCTTTTTATAGAAATGGGGTCTTACTATTTGACCAGGCTGGTCTTGAACTCCTGGCCTCAAGGGATCTTCCCGTCTCATCCTCCCAAGGTGCTGGGATTACAGGTGTGAGCCACCACGCCAGGCCCCAAAGTGATTTTTTTTTAATTGTGGTAAAATATGCATAACATAAAATGTATCATTTTAACTATTTTAAGTGTACAATTCAGTGGCATTAAGTACATTCATACTATTGTGCAACCATCACCACTATTCATTCCCAGAACCTTTTATCATCTCAAACAGAAACTCTGCACCCAAAACAATAACTCCCCACTCCTTTCTCTTCCCAGCCACAGCTAATCTTTGTTACACTTTCTGTCTCTATGTGTTTGCCTATTCTAGGTATCTCATATAAGTGGAATCATACAATATTTGTCCTTTTGTGTCTGCCTTATTTAACTTAGCATAATGTCCTCCAGGTTTATCCATGTTGTGGCATACTTCAGAATCTCTTTCCTTGGCCCGGTGCAGTGGCTCACGCCTATAATCCCAGCACTTCGGGAGGCCAAGGCAGGAGGATTACTTGAGCCCAGGAGTTGGAGACCAGCCTGGGAAATACAGCAATCCTGTCTCTACAAAAAATAAAAAAATAAAAATTAGCTGGGAGTGGTAGCACCACTGCACTCTAGCCTGGGTGACAGAGCAAGACACTGTCTCAAAAAAAAAAAAAAAAAAAAAAAAAAAAAAAGAAGAAGAAAGAAATTCTTTCCTTTTTAAGCCTGAAAAATATTCCATTGTATACCATATTTAGTGGATGTATTCATCTGTTGGCCGAAAATGATTTTTGAACAACTAGGCATTTCATTTCCAAGATCCCTAAATGTTTTAAAAATACGTAATAGCCTTTCATGTAAGTAATGTATTCTCTTAAATTTGGAGACTATATACTTTTTAAATATATAAAGCCCTGCCTTGTTTGCTCTATTAACTCTCTTTTCTCCTGAGTAAGTAATTCCCTTTATTTTCTGTTCTCCAGTGTCGGCTTGCCCCAGGTATTTGGTAAGTTTAGACCATGGGCTTATCATTCAGGATCAGAGTCCCTCTACAGTGTCTGTTGCCCTTATTTGTACTCCTTCTTGGGAGAGGGGTGGTCAGAGTCTACAGAGGCAACAGAGACTTATGTCCTGGCCAATTTCTAGTTGGAATGAGGGAGAAGCAGGATGTGCTGCCCACCCTTACAACTCCAGCCTAGAGGCAGATCCCCTCCCACTTCTCACTCCAGGCCCAGAAGAGGGAGAGGGAAGAACCCAGGTGCCGGGACTAGCTTTGTTTGTTTCCTAACGAATTGGCTTGGCTGTTGTCCCAGGGCCTCCTCCTGTGATGATTTCTCCCACCTCCATTTCCACAGGTGTAAAAATGGGCATGAAAGCAGAAAGAATGTTTCCAATAGATTAATATTAAATTCGTATGCTCTTTTCTTCAGTATATATATTTTTTAATGTCAGGTGGGTAATGTGCTGATGTAGAAACAAAGTTTTGAATCAGCAAGTTTCCCTGACCCCTTCGTGAGCAGGAACTGGAGTGCAGCTGCTGGAACTAGCTGGCTACTTCCACGCCAGCAGGGGTGAACTCCACTCACTTGAACCCACTGCACTCAACCTCTCCCAGGAGGGAGCATGCAGGTGAGCAGGTGCTGGAGCCAGGGTGACTGCTTTTGGGCGCCGGCAGGAACGAACTTTATACTGCCCCATGGCAGCCTCTAGGGGTGTGCCCACAACCCCTGAAGCCCCAGAAGGAGTGTTACAGTCAGTGCTCTTTTAGCTTTGCTCTCCACAGACAGCTTAAGTGTTAACAGCTCGGCGGAGCGTCAGTGTGACAGCCTTTCACACCCATACCTGAGTTCTTGTCCAGCATCCAGAAGGAATGAGGTCACACAAACAAATTGGAGATGGTAAATGCAGGGGATTTTATTGCCGATGAAAGCAGCTCTCAGCAGGAAGGGGAGCTGAAAAGGGGATGGAGCAGGAAGGTAATCTTCCCCCAGAGTCTGGCCGCCCTCAGCTAGACGCCTCTCCAAAGCTATACGGTCAAGCTGTCCCTCTGAAGTTAAGCCACTTCTGTCTGATGTTCAGCCGTAGTCTGCGACATCCAGCTGCTTCTCCTCTTCTCTGCCCACAGAGTCTGGGGTTTTTATAGGCACAGGATTGGGGGTGGAACGGGCCATGGGTGGTTTTGGAAAAGGCAACATTTGAGTGGGAAAACAGAGATGTCAGTTCTCACTTTGGGCTGCAGTTCCAGGCTTAAGGGAGGGGCCCTGGCCAGGGACCCACTCTCTTCTGCCCAGAATTTCCCTGCCTCCTGTCCCTATCAGTCTGAGGGAGGCACATTTCATTAATGTGTGTGAAACCTCAATCATCATGCTTATGAGCTACAAAAGGATCTGGTATTTCCATCAGAGAGAGTCTTTTCTAGGAATATCAAAGAAACCACATGTATCCATGTACACATGGGAACTATAATGTATCCATGGTGCATATATGTGTGTGTGTGATTTTGAGAAATGCTATACAAAAAGGAGTAGCGATTTTAAAATTATGGGTTTTTTGTTTTTGTTTTTGTCTTGAGAGAGTCTTGCTCTGTTGCCCAGGCTGGAGTACAGTGGCGTGATCTCGGCTCACTGCAACCCTCACCTCCCGGGTTCATGTGACTCTCCTGGCTCAGCCTCCTGAGTAACTGGGACTACAGGCATGCACCACACCCAGCTAATTTTTTGTATTTTTAGTAGAGACGGGTTTTGCCATGGTGGCCAGGCTGGTCTTGAACTTCTGGCCTGAAGTGATCCACCCGCCTTGGCCTCCCAAAGTGCTGGGATTACAGGTGTGAGCCACCACGCCCAGCCTGAAATTATGATTTAAATGTGAAATTATTTGGATGTATTTATTTGGAAAACGAGGCATTAAAAAGTAATTTCCGTGTTGCCAGGGACTGAAGGGTTATATTGCAACTTAAACTAACAATAAAATGATAATCCATTCTTCTTAGGTAAAACAAATTCTCTTAAAGCTGTAAAAATAACACAAGCTGCTTCAACAAATATAGAACATTGGTCCAATATAATTATTAAATTAGTTCTTATCTGGGCAACTATTACAATTTTAAAATTGAACCAGTGTTTTTTAACAGAGAACTTCTTTGTGGGTGAAAATTTGTTAACCCTCAGCAAATATTGGTTAGGAAAAAATACAAATATGAAATTTCTAAACCTCATAGATGGACTTATGAAAAATAAGAGTAAATGATGAAGGAACAGAAGGCTTCAAACTAACAGGTTTTTGTTTTTTTTTTTTTTGTACAGTATCCCTATTTTATTATTTATTTATTTATTGAGATGAAGTCTCACTCTGTCACCCAGGCTGGAGTGCAGTGGCACGATTTCGGCTCACTGCAACCTCCGGCTCCCAGGTTCAAACGATTCTTCTGCCTCAGCCTCCCGAGTAGCTGGGAATACAGGCATACGCCATGACACCCGGCTAATTTTTGTATTTTTAGTAGAGATGGAGTTTCGCCATGTTGGCCAGGCTGGTCTTGAACTCCTGACCTCAAGTGGTCCGCCTGCCTCGGCCTTCCAAAGTGCTGAGATTACAGGTATGGGCCACCCCGCCCGTCCTCTATTTTAAATTACCGTAATTTTTGGTTGAATAAATTGTTGTAAGCCATCATAGAATCTAGCTGTTTATAAGCCTGCATTCAAGACAGCAGCGGGTAGTAGAGTTCCCAGGCCTTCTGGCAAGGCTCAGCTCAGAACAATCAATGCCAGGATCAGATTTTGTTCAAATTTTGAAGTGTAATCATTCCTTTTCCTCATTCCCATTTTTCCCCTTTTCTTCTCAGGTGGAGGGAATATTTGCTTCAAGGGTACTACATATTTGTGTCTGGCTCCTGAGAGAGAGAAAGAACTTTTTACGAAATGACCCAGAAATGAAAAATTTTAAATCATTATAAGGAGGTTCATTCAGCCCATCTTTTATGATGTAGCTATATAATCTATTAAAGAGAGAGAATTGTCATGAGGACCTATAACCAGAACTGAATGAACCAAGAACAGTGATCTATCCAAAGGAACTTATAACCAAGATTACTTGGGTCTGAGTCTTCTAGGGAGCTGTCCTCACTACAAACACAACAACAAAGACCACAGTTCATCCAGCAAACACTTTAACTGATATTACTGTTAATGCTGTCTGTGAACTACCTACCTGTAACATTTGAAGAGCCAATGATTTCCTTAATTCTATGTAGCAAATCAAGTAACATATTGCTGTTTTGAATAATCTCTACCCACATTCATATCCACATTTATGGATATGTAGACTTCAAAGACAACATAGAATACTGCTTAAGCAAGCAAGTAGAGAGCCATTAGTATATACTTTCCAAATCCCTCCCTGTCCGGCTGCCTTCTACAGCTCGTAGAATATTGAACACTGCGTGGGTACAGGGGCTCACGCCTGTAATCCCAGCACTTTGGGAGGCCAAGGCAGGCAGATCACGAGGTCAAGAGATCGAGACCACCCTGGCCAACATGATGAAACCCCGTCTCTACTAATACAAAAATTAGCTGGGCGTGGTGGTACGTGCCTGTAGTCCCAGCTACTCCGGAGGCTGGGGCAGGAGAATCGCTTGAACCCAGGAGGCAGAGGTTGCAGTGAGCTGAGATGGCACCCAAAAAAAAAAAAAGAAAAGAAAAAGAACAAACAACTTTCCGGCCGCGTGGGGTGGCTCACGCCTGTAATCACAGCACTTTGGGAGGCCAAGGCAGGCGGATCACGAGGTCAGGAGTTCGAGACCAGTCTGGCCAACATAGTGAAACCCCATCTCTACTAAAAATACAAAAAATTAGCCAGGTGTGGTGGTGTCGCCTGTAATCCCAACTACTCAGGAGGCTGAGGCCGGAGAATCGCACGAACCCCGGAGGCAGAGGTTGCAGTGAGCCGAGTTTGTGCCATTGCACTCCAGCCCGAGCGACAGTGCAAGACTCTGTCTAAAAATAAACAAAAAAGAATATTTAGTACTGCATTCATACCCTAAGCATGGGCTACTTTCTCAGAGCTAGTTTCTCCATAGAGATAACCATGCAGGCCAATCTGCATGTCCATTTGACAAATATCTGTAAACTGACTACTTATGTGTTAGTCTCCTGGCCTGGGGCTGAGCATTCAGTTGTGACCAAATAGACCCTGTCCTTGCCTTCGTGGACATTAAGGTTTTGACATCTGGGTTTATTTTTGCAATTCACAATCCAAACTATGGTTCCATTTATAGTCCTTTTATTATGAAGTTGGATCATCCAGTGAAGCTTGGATGAACCTTGAAATGAAAGGAAAATTGCCTGGAAATAGCAAGGAGTCAGTACCACCAAATGCTATTATTTCATTTTACTTGTACATCAGCTTTATAAGGCTTAAGGAAGGCAAGAATTATTGCACTCACTTTACAGATGAGGATATCTAAAAAGAAAGGTTAGATGACTTGACTCGAGTCACTTGGTGGTAGAAAAAGGACTGTAAGTTTGGTTTCCTATAGACGGGTTACCAGTAAGTAGCATCACTGTTCTTTTCTTTTACTGAACAAAGTCTTCTTTCTACTTTCCCCAAAGGGCCCAACTTCCCATGAAAAGAAAAATCCCAGTAGACACTAAGCATTATCAGGACTAGCGTTCCTTAAGTCCCTTTAGTAAGTCTTATCAAATTGCCACTTTAATAAATCTTTTCCAGAGACTTCCCAAGTTCTGAAAATCTGAACTTAGGACTGTTTCCTAGAGAGTTGGTAGTAAAGTTTTAAGAACAGGCAAAGGGCATATAGATATAATACTTAAAAGATAACTCAGTTTGAAAACATTTGGTCACACATATACACATGCATACCTGTTCCCATCCTATCTTTATCTCTCGCTGTAGATATTCAGTGTCATCACTAACTTTACGTCACAGATAAGGTAGCTATATAAATGTATGTGGCTGACTGCCACTACTGCTACTTGAGACCGTCACTAGAGCAATTACTACTGTTACTGCTTGAGACCATCGTTACGACTGAACGAAGAGACGAACGTAGAAATGATAACTTAAAACAAAAGTAACTATTTTAAGGAAAGACTAGCATGAGGAAGAAGAAGAGAGCTCCCTGCTTCTAGTGAGTAAAGACAGTCCCCCAAGCTTCTACAGCTCTTCCTATTTATTGGGTAACAGGAGCAGGGAGGAGGAGGTAATGATTGGTCAGCTGCTTAATTGTTCATATTGTTACTGACAGGCTTCAATTATGCCTAATCATAAGAAACATTTGTGCCTCCAACAAATGTACATTTAAATAAACATTTAAAATGTACCCACATTTTTGCAAGCATATCAAACTGATTTCATTTGTCCATGTTTTCTAACCAGATCTTATCCACATGCATACAAATGCCATATGTAGTTTTTAATCATCGTTCAACTTTTAACAATTTTTTATTTATTTTTTGAGACAGGGTTTTGCTCTGTCACCCAGGCTGGAGTTCAGTGGTGTGATCATGGCTCACTGCAGCCATGAACCTCTGGGCTCAAGCAGTCCTCCCACTTCAGCCTCCTGAGTCGCTTGGCTATAGGCACGTACCATCACACGCGGCTAATTTTCAAAATTTTGTAGAGACGCAGTCTTGCTATATTGCCCAGGCTGGTCTCTAGCTCCTGGGCTCAAGTGATCTTCCTGCCTCAGCCTCCCACAGCACTGAGAGTACAGGTATTAGCCACTATGCCCAGCCTCAACTTTTATTTTTTAAAAAAGTATGTAAATAATATTACCCTAATTGACTTATGGTCATTTTATTCACTTTAAAAATTTTGATTGATCTGAAGGAAGGAAAATCAAAGACCATTGCCTCATACTTGAACCCTCAACTGAAGGATTACGTCTTCATAAAAAATTCTTTCCTGGCCAGGTGCAGTAGCTCAGGCCTGTAATCCCAGCACTTTGGGAGGCCAAGGCAGATCACCTGAGGTCGGGAGTTCAAGATCAGCCTGACCAATATGGAGAAATCCCATCTTTACTAAAAATACAAAAAATTAGCTGGGCATGGTGGTGCATGCCTGTAATTCCAGCTACTCAGGAGGCTGAGGCAGGAGAATCACTTGAACTCGGGAAGCAGAGGTTGCGGTGAGCGGAGATCGAGCCATTGCACTCCAGCCTGGACAACAAGAGCCAAACTCTGTCTCAAAAAAAAAAAAAAAAAAAAAACTTTTCTTGATGGGTCATAGAAAGTAGAAGAGAGACATGTACCAGTTTTGCCTTTCAGCATAGGAAGTACTTACAGATGAGAATCCATGTGGAAGAAGAAGAAAAAATTGGGGGGGATGGGAAGGACTCATTTAAAACAAGTCTCAGTTTGTTTTTCTTTTTTTAATTTAAAAAGGAAAAATTGATTCAAATGCTCATTCGCAACACAGAAAATCCTATAAAAGTGGCAAATATAGTACAGCATATTATTTTCTTTCCTTTTCTTTTTCTTTTTTTTTTTTTTTGATACAGAGTTTCGCTCTTGTAGCCCAGGCTGGAATGCAGTGATGCGGTCTCGGCTCACTGCAATCTCCACCTTCAGGGTTCAAGTGATTCTCCTGCCTCAGCCTCCCGAGTAGCTGGGATTACGGGTGCCCGCCACCACACCTGGCTAATTTTTGTAATTTTAGTAGAGACAGATTTCACCATGTTGGCCAGGCTGGTCTCGAACTCCTGACCTCAGGTGATTTGCCCTCCTTGGCCTCCCAAAGTGCTAGGATTACAGGCATGAGCCAGTGTGCCCAGCCAACATACTTATATTTTAAACATAATGACAGTGATGGATGAGACACTCACTCTGGGATGAAAAGATTGTCTTCAAAATCTGCAAAGTCCTAATGTTGCTAATGCTGGTGCTATGAATGTTGGAAGAAATGGTGTACTGATATCCCAGGACAGTCCAATGACGTTTCTCCCAAATAGTTATTTATGACACTAATATCCAGATACTTTAAAATATTTCTTTAGTAATCAATTATATTAAAATAACCCCACAATAACTAGCTCCCTTCATCTCAACACCAGCTTTTGTTAGTTTTGAGCTTCAATCTTTGAGTCAGAAAGTTTTTCTTACTTTTTTTTTTTTTTTTTTGAGACAGTTTCACTCTGTCACCCAGGCTGGAGTGCAGTGGTGCGATCTCAGCTCACTGCAGTCTCTGCCTGCCGGGTTCAGGCAACTCTCCTGCCTCAGCCTCCCAAGTAGCTGGGATTACAGGCACGCACCACCATGCCCAGCTAATTTTTTATATTTTTAGTAGAGAGGAGGTTTTACTCTGTTAGTCAGGCTAGGTCTCAAACTCCTGACCTCAAGTGAACCGCCCGCCTCAGCCTCCCAAAGTGCTGGGATTACTGGCTTGAGCCACAACGCCCGTTCACTTGCTATTTTTTTTTTTTAAGTATACTACATTCCCGTTTTCTGGGCATTATTATATGTAATCTAGTCTAGTTTACTTCGTGACTGTGAAGACTGTGACTACTGATGGTCCCATTCACTCAATCCAGTTCAAACTATTGAATGTGGGAGGACAAGACAACGGGCCACTTACTGAGTTGCTGACACCTATGTTCATACTAAAAATAAAATGGGATTATTCTAAAATGTTTCAAATAGGTTAGAAAAAGTGCTTTCGTTTGTTGGTTGGTTGGAAAAAAGCTCAGTACAGCTCCATTTTTTAGGTGGAATCAAGAAAGTCGAGGTTGAAAAACTCTTAAAACCTATGTGGCCCAGTCATTCATTTTGATGCCTAAAACCCCTATAACATCCCTGCGAAGTGGTTGTCTACCCTTTACTTATCTCTAGTGGCAGGGGAGTGTCTATTCCTCCACATCATAGAAATTAACAAACAAGAACACATTAGTAGGTTTCCATTAAAAAATGATTAAGAAAGGGCCGGGTGTGGTGGCTCATGCCTGTAATCCCAGCACCTTGGGAGGCCGAAGCAGGCAGATCATGAGGTCAGGAGTTTGAGACCAGCCTGATCAACATGGTGAAACCCTGTCTCTGCTAAAAATACAAAATTTAGCCGGGCGTGATGGCGCGTGCCTGTAATCCCAGCTACTCAGGAGGCTGAGGCAGAAGAATCATTTGAACCCAGGAGATGGAGGTTGCAGTGAGCCAAGATTGCACACTGCACTCCAGCTGGGGCAACAGAGTGAGACTCTGTCTCAAAAAAAAAAAAAAAAGGATTAAGAATTGTATGCAACTTTTCAGGACAGTAAGGGGATTTTTTAACTGTCACTCAAAACATGATATCAGAGCTATGTTTTTTACATGGGGAAATGCAGGTGGCATAGATACCTTATGCAGCAGGCTGAGGTGTAGAGAATCCTAAGCCAATTCTGGTCAGAAGCACTTCAGAGGTGACCGCATAGAATGATGCGGGAAGTCATGGCTGTAGGGTGCTATACCAAAGACACCTAAGGAAAATCACTGTCCTTCTGTCTGGGCTGCTATAACAGAAATACCACAGACCACATAGCTTAAACAACAAATATTTATTTCTCACAGTTCTGGAGGCCGGGAGTCCAAGATCAACGTGCCAGATTCTGTGTCTGGTGAAGGCCCACTTCCTGGTTCATAGACTGCCATCTTCTCTCTGGGTCCTCATATGGAGAAGAGACGAAGGAGCTCTCTGCAGTCTCTTTTATAAGGGCACTAATCCCATTCATGAGAGCTCAACCCTCATGACTTAATCACCTCCCAAAGGCCCCACTTCTAAATACCATCATTTTAGTATGCATACATTTTGGGGGGGCACGCAAATAGTCTACAGCAGTCATTGTATCTTAATTTTCTTCCATAACCTTGACAGTGCTACAGAGATTTTTCTTATCTGTGATTTAGCTTATGCCATCTGGATTGCTGCAAGATTTAAAATCTCACTTTCCTGGTTCATAATTTTGGTCAGAATATTAAGTCGATAATCATTAATGTTTTATAAGATAACCGGGCACAATGACCCATCAGTTCTTTTTCTCTTGAAAGCACATCATGCAGACAGAATGAAGAGAAACCATTTTGAGCTAATGAATTTGATATTTTCTTTTAATCTACATGGTTAGAATGAATTCCAGCTCACATGGACTTTTCCATTTGTGAGAGAAACCTCTAGGTAGCAAGGTTTATTTTAAAATTATTTCACTGGGGCAGAGAGGAATGAAAAGGTGGAGTGCAGGGGATTTTTAAGGCAGCAAAACTATTCTGTATGATTCTACAACAGTAGATACACATTATTAAACACTTGTCAAAACCCCCAGGATGGGCCTGGCGCGGTGGCTCACACCTGTAATCCCAGCACTTTGGGAGGCCAAGGTGAGTGGATCATTTGAGGTCAGGAGTTCAAGACCAGCCTGGCCAACATGGTGAAATCCTGTCTCTACTAAAAATACAAAAATTAGCCAAGTGTGGTGGCACCCTCCTGTAATCCCAGCTACTCAAGAGGCTGAGGCAGGAGAATCGCTTGAACCCAGGATGCGGAGGTTGCAGTGAGCCAAGATCCTGCCATTGCCCTCCAGCCTAGGTTACAGCGCCAGACTCCATCTCAAAACAAAACAAGACAAAAACCCCATAGGATATATAATACAAAGAGTTAACCCTAATGTAAACTATGAACTTGATAATGATGTGTCAATGCTGCTTAATTGATTGTAACAAATGTACCCCGGAGGTGGTGATGTTGACTCTAGGGAGGCAGTGTGCACAGGGCAGGGTTGTAGGAGAACTCTCTGTACTTTCCACTTGACTTCGCTGTGAGACTAAAACTGCTCTAAAAGATAAAGCCTATTTTTAAAAAATGACTACACAAAGCTTCCAGGTATCAACATTTGGTTTCAAATAAGCACACCTTCTGATTTTCAAAAATGTTTTTTCCATTATTAAAAGTCTTAGAGCCTTTTTTTGATAAATAAGTAAATTTTATGTATGGTGATTTCAAAAGTACAATGAAGTTATTAGGTAGGAAAACCTCTTTGGTAAGTTATTTTGTATGGTGAAGAATCGCTCTAATGTGGTTGTATGATAAATCCAGGGATCCCTTTAAAAAGCACTACCAGGAGGCTGGGTGCGGTCACTCACGCCTGTAATCCCAGCACTTTGGGAGGCCGCTGCGGGCGGATCACGAGGTCAGGAGATCGAGACCATCCTGACTAACACGGTGAAACCCCGTCTCTACTAAAAATACAAAAAAAAAACAAAAAAATTGGCCGGGTGTAGTGGCGGGCGCCTGTAGTCCCAGCTATTCGGGAGGCTGAGGCAGGAGAATGGTGTGAACCCGGGAGGTGGAGCTTGCAGTGAGCAGAGATCACGCCACTACACTCCAGCCTGGGTGACAGAGCGAGACTCCGTCTAAAAAAATAAAACATAAAAACCACCACCAGGAAGATCAGACTTTAAAACATCATTAAAACAGTATCTGGGCCAGGTGCAGTGGCTCATGCCTGTGATCCCAGCACTTTGGGAGGCTGAGGTAGGTGGATCACGAGGTCAGGAGTTCAAGAGCAGCCTGGCCAACATGGTGAAACCTCATCTCTACTAAAAATACAAAAATTAGCTGGGCGTGGTGGTGGGCACCTGTAATCCCAGTTACTTGGGAGGCTGAGGCAGAGAATTGCTTGAACCTGGGAGGCGGAGGTTGCAGTGAGCCGAGATCGCGCCAATGCACTCCAGCCTGGGCAACAAAGTGAGACTGTCTCAAACAAACAAACAAACAAACAACCAAAAAAACAGTATCTGAAAACTGGGGAGAAGATACTCCCAAATAATTATAATCTCTGAAATAATTGGACATTTTCTCTCTGTTTTCTGATTGTTTTATAACTTGGTGGCAATGCAGACTGGTGAAAATATTCCTAAGAAATAGCGAGATGATTTCATTGGATAACAGAATAGAAAGCAAATCCCTGGAATCACGGGAAAAAGGAGACACAAGAATGGCCTTTTTCATTCTTGGGGACTAGAACAATTTTCTCACGTAAGTTTACTGTGGTGGCTCATCGTGCTTCTGTGGGTGACTGTGGATGATCACAAACAAGAATTCCACTGGGATTCCAACCTTGAGAAGTATTAGGTAAGAGTCACTTTTAATGCCTTGCAGATTATACGATAAGCTTGTCTTTTCCAGAAAAAGAGCACAGTATATTTAAATACAATTCTATATGCAAGGCCATCCTGCTCAAGTAGAAGAAAAAGATCCCTGAAGAATGTGTATCTCTGAGAGATCATCAAAAGTCCCTAAATGGAACAATGGAAATTATATAAAGTAAAACCGGCAAGCAGATGATTCTGTTAAGGCTAAGTGGAATCCAAATCTAAGTCCAGATGTGGGCAAGTGTGAGAGAATAACACACAGGAGGTCAGGATCTTACCTCACTGAGGCTGCACAATAAAAACCGGACTCTCGGCTGGGTGTGGTGGCTAATGACTGTAATCCCAGCACTTTGGGAGGCCGAGGCAGGAGGATCATGAGGTCAAGAGATCAAGAGTATCCTGGCCAACATGGTGAAACCCCGTCCCTACTAAAAATACAAACATAAGCTGGGCGTGATGGTGTGTGCCTGTAATCCCAGCTACTCGGGAGGCTGAGGCAGGAGAATCGCTTGAACCCCGGAGGCAGAGGTTGCAGTGAGCTGAGATCATGCCACTGCACTCCAGCCTGGCGACAGAGCGAGACTCCATCTCAAAAAACAACACAACAACAACAAAACCAGACTCTCCTGGCAGGTGGGTGGGGAAGGGGGACAGTAAGGCAATGGCGGCAGAGAAGCAGCAGCAGCATAAGGCACAGACGACGCATCTGACTGTAATCCATGTACATACTCAACCGAACTAATGAAAAAGCAGCTGAATGTAGAGAAACTAAACTTATTGAGGCTCCCAATGACTTGGGGTACAGACCAACAGGAGGGAAGAACTTAGTACCAGCATAGAACCACCCACTGACCACCATGTCCAGCTGGGCTGTGCAGTCAGCCTTTTCCTATTTGCTGCCACCATCTCTATGACCTTGATCCTTTCTACTTCCTGTGATGTTCATGGTATTAGCTGTCACTGTGATTTACCCTGGACCCTATGTGGAATGGAGTGGATAAGGAGAGTGGGCAGAAGTCAAGTGGTCCCAATGTGCCTCACAATTCTGTGGTTATGTGAAGGCTTTTTTTTTTTTTTTTTGCATTATAGAAGTTATGTGGGGGGTGGAAATTGGTAGAATTATGTTTCTAGTTTTTCCAATTATTTAGATTCCTCATCACATATTAACTTCTAGCATAGTATCATGTTTGTTACAGAAAAGGTTTTATCCAAACTATATCACCATGTCAACTCCTTTAGAAATAGAATTAATTCTAACTGATTCAAGTTTATCAGCTTTAATGCTCTTAAGTGAAAATACTTGAGAATGACACAGCTGAGTAAATATTAAAGAAAAACAAGGAATACTTAAGGTAGCATAACTAATAACAAGCTGCAGGCCAGACAAGTTCTTTGATTTTAACAACTTTTAATCCCTATTAATTGTCAAAAGACAAGGCGAAGAAATCCCCTCAGTAAAATTCAGAAATCTAATCACCAAGCCAAAATTCCCCTATAACTATGTCACAGATGGAAATCCAGTTTTAAGAAACTGGCATGGTCAGTTGTTAACACACCAGTACCATCTACAAACACAGTTGTTTAAACACAACAGATTGCCATTACTCAGCAGGTTCAGTAATCACAATTCAGCTTGCTATTAGGAGAGAAAATTACTGGTGTTTTTAGTTTCCATCCCATTACCTTGACTTTTATTTAGAGCCATTCATCAACAATTTCCTCCTTCATTAGAAGTCACAAGTTAACCAAGCCATACGGTCATCAAAGAAACACAATACATTTGATGAGATCTTGAAAATGTAAATGCTTAGTGCAATTTTGTTAATTCACGACGTTTCTTAAGCATTACAGCAATCTATTCAAGATAATTCTCAAGCCTTTGCTTCAGAATCCATTAGCTATAGACATTTCAAGTACTTCTTGAGGCAAACTCCTGCAGTAATGGTTTCCAGCAATGGTCCTTCACCAGTCTGAGGAGTCTGTTACTCCCTCAATCTTTTTCATAGCCCCCAAATGCACCTCTGTTGTAAAAAAAAACTGTAATCCTTTGCTTTAATGGAAGACTGTCGGTTTCATTTTACTGCATTCTCCAGGAATATTCCTTTCTAACAAAGCCACTTCCCAGCCCTCCACAGGAAATGTTCAGGGGCCCCCACATTCAGGATTGGTTCTGAGATATTATCTCCTAAGATAAATTGAGATAGTAAACAATATCCAGTCAATGAACAAGTGTTTACTGACTACTGTTCTTAGGAACAGTAGCCACTAAAGAGAATACGGTACAAATAGATAGAGTCTACTAAAACTTTGCACTCTAGATGGGCTATAATACGCATACACAGTACACAGAAAAGCTAACTCTAATACAGAGTGGCAGATTGTTGGTGCTACGTGAATACTGTGTGTAGGAACTGCCATAGGACTCCACTGATTCACTCTGGACACAGAGATGAGACGATTAGCCATCCTTCCACAGAAAAGGGGAACATGGAGCGGGAAGAAGGGAAGGGAAGCATAGAAATAAAGAGATGAGGGGAATCACTTCTATTTGAGAGTAAAACAGAGTCCATCTGTAATAAATGTAAATCTGTTTTTGTTTTATTTTTTCTGTTCTTCTGGCTTCTCAACATCAATCTGTTTTTGTACACGGTGTCAGTGTGACTACATTTCCAATACAAATAAGGTTGATCTTGATCGAAACACTTTTTGAAGTGGCTTCGTTGTCTGGGGTAAATACCCAGGATTCGTCGTCTTGCGCCAGGAAGATTTAGGACAGGAACACACATGAGTTTAGGAGCAGAGGCTTAATAGGCAAAAGAAAGAGAAAGCAGAGTAGCTCTCTAGTGAGACAGAGGCTTCTGCAAGGAAAGACCGGTGGGTGATGGAGTGCGCTGGATTTTATAGTTCGGCTTGAGGAGGCGGTGTCTGATTTACATAAGGCCCACAGATTGGACGGATCAGGTGTTACATTTACATAGTGGGCGGGGAAAGGCTGGCTACCCCACCCTAATCTTATTATGCAAATGGCTTTCCACTTAACCAGGCCATCTTGCCTGCTCCTTTCTGACAAAGAAGAGGGAAGATGGGGCCGCTAATTTGAAGATGTCTAGTCCCAGGTGGCTTTTTTCCTACCGGTATGCACCCCTGCAAGCTTCCGGCTTGATTGTCTATGTCTGCAGCTCGATTTTGCAGGCTGCTCTTTGTTAGAAAATGATTTGGGGGCTGCTTTTCATTAAAAAGAAAAACCTTACTGAGGACTCCCATACCCTCACTATCTGCCTAAGTAGTTTCTTCTTAACTCCTCTGTCATTTTGACACTATCCGTTTGAAAAGGTGAAGCACACTGAGGTCATCCATGGTTGAGTCTGTTTGGCTTCGTTTCGTTTTGTTTAGTTTTAGGCTTTCCGCGGCCTGAAGCCATGGTTTTTAGTTTCTGTCTCTAGTGATAAGCAGAAAAAAGGGACGAGGAAGGGGCTCATTAAAAGAAAAACTTAGCCGAATTAAATTTAAAAGAGTTTGAGCAACGAACGATCGTGCAGCCCCCAGAATCACAGCAGATTCAGAGAGACTCCCGCGCAGCCACATCGTGGGAGATTTATGGACAGCAAAAGGAAACTGACCTACAGGAAATGGAAGTGAGGTACAGAAACAACTGGATTGGTTACAGCTTGGCGTTTGCCTTATTTTAACACGGTTCAAACAGTTGGCTACATTTCTTTGGCCAAAACTTAGTGACTGGCACAGGTGTGGGTCACCGTTGGTGTATACCTCCAGTTGTTATAGTTCGTGATGTATAGAAATACCTTTAGGCTGAAATTAAATATGTAAGGAAGCCGCTTGAGGCTAAACTTAATAGGCTTTAGTGGCTTAACCAGAAACAAAAACTAAGAGCCCATGACTGTATTCTCTGTCTCGGACACCCCTGCGACCCACTGTCATAATTGATCTTGGCCAAGTCAATTATATATTATCATTGCTTACAATGAGGGAATTGTGCTGATTGACATAGCTAGCCCTGATCCATCTCAGATTAGGAAATATAAGAGGCTCATAAATTCTTCCATTCGAAAAGTGTGGTCAGTTTTCGTGTAAGTCACTTCCAGGTAATTAGGTTCATCTAACCTCGGTGGTGATAGTAAATCATAAATTACATAAGCTACAATAGGCATACTGTTGCCATTTCTGGTCAGCCAGTGTCCTGACGCATGCTTTTTGGTGTATTACAATCAAGACATCTGTGGGAACTGCGGCCGGCTGGCTCAGTGAGGCACAGGCAGTGGGGGAAGATGGCAGTGGCCGTTCCACTGCAGGCGTGAACCCTGGAGCAGCTGCGCAGTAAGCACCTGCCCAAGAGGGACTTTATCAAGTTTCTGCAGGACCACAATTCAGATTCGTTTCTTGCAGAACATAAATTATTAGGAAACATTAAAAATGCAGGCAAGACAGCTAACAAGGACCATTTGGTTACAGCCTATAACCATCTTTTTGAAACTGAGTGTTTCAAGGGTATCAATACTGTAAGTGTTGCAAGTGAAAAATGTGAAGCTTAATGAAGATAAACCCAAATAAACCCAAAGTCTGGAGAGTCTCTGGCTGAGGGTCCACCAAAATATGCAAAATCTGTTCTAAAAACATGAGATAAGGCCAGGCGCATTTGCTTATGCTTGTAATCCCAGCACTTTGGGAGGCCGAGGCGGGTGGATCACCTGAGGTCAGGAGTTCAAGACCAGCCTGACCCACATAGAGAAACCCTGTCTCTGCTAAAAATACAAAATTTGCCAGGCAAGGTAGCACATGCCTGTTAATCCCAGCTACTCGGGAGGCTGAGGCAGGAGAATCGCTTGAACTCGGGAGGTGGAGGTTGCGGTGAGCTGAGATCACGCCACTACACTCCAGCCTGGGCAACAAGAGCGAAACTCCATCTCCCCAAAAAAAGGAAATGAACAGCAGTGAATAACATCTCTCCTTTTTGGGAGATGGGGAGATGTTGTTCAAGGCTGGTATACAGGAACACTACAGGATGGGACTGTTTTTGATACTAATATTCAAACAAGTTCAAAAAAGAAAAATACCAATACCAAGCCTTTAAGTTTTAAGGTCAGAGTAGGCAAAGTTATCACAGGATGGGATGAAGCACTGTTGACTGGGTAAAGGAGAAAAGCCTCGATTGAAGAGTGAAGCAGAATGGGCTTATGCAAAGAAAGGGCAGCCTGAAGCCAAAATTCCACTAAATACAAAGTTCGTTTCTGAAGTGGAATTAGTGGATACTGATTGAAATAGCAGTGCTTCAGCTCTAAGGATATCAGCAACAGTGATAAAACTTGGCCTTAAAGAAACTTACGTAACTAACTAGAGTTTGTTACTATTGGAAGGGAAGAGTCACCTGGAAAATTCAGAGTTAAAACTTGTTTGAGATCTCTACTAAAAATACAACAAATTAGCTGGGCATGGTGGTGCGTGCCTATAATCCCAGCTACTCGGGAGGCTGAGATGGGAGAATCACTTGAACCCAGGAGGCGGAGGTTGCAGTTAGCCAAGATTGCGCCATTGCACTCCAGCCTGGGTGACAGAGCAAGACTCCGTCTCGAGAAAAAAAAAAACAAAAAAAAACTTGTTTAAACTGATCCCAACTTTTCAGAAATGTAATCCCTTATAAATCCCTGAAGTCCAAAATGTTTTACACTACAACTGTGTAAAATACTGGTCAGGGAGAACTTTTTCCTTTTACCTCATGTTGTAAACTAAATGGCTGAATAAAAATATATCCACTGGGGGGCGGCGTGGAAAGACATCTGTGATAATTTAATGAATGTGTGAATACAAGCTGAGGTAAAGGAAGTGAATTCAAATGGAGTACTCAATAAAAACTCAGCATCCTGAAGGAGACATCTGTTGCCTTTCTCTGACCAGCATCCCTTTCCCCTCTATTAAAAATAGAAAGTTGTTTGAGGCCAACCTGGCCAACATGGTGAAACCCCATCTCTTCTAAAAATACAAAAATTAGCCAGGTGTGGTGACACACTTCTGTAATCCCAGCTACCCTGGAGGCTGAGGCATGAGAATCGCTTGAATCTGGGAGGTGGAAGTTGCAGTGAGATGGCACCACTGCACTCCAGCCTGGGTGACAGAGTGAGACTCTGTTTCAAAAAAAAAAGAAAAAAGAAAAGAAAAAGAAAGTAGTAGTTTGTGCAACTACCTCTGGCTCATTTCTTGTGGTCTGTAGGACTGTGAATCAAGGTGCTCACATTCTACCTGCAAGCTAACCTCCAGAAAGAATGTGAATTTTGATAGGAGGGACAGAAGACTAAAAGCGATGGGAATTGATAAGTATAATGGCAATGCCCTAGAAGAGACTGTTCAATCATGAGTTGTACTCTAATTTAGAGTCCCTGAATTCTGTCCTGATGGACTTACCTTTCTAAAGGTGTGTGGTGAAATCTGCCTCAGTACTGTAAGCAATTTGACATTTTTTTCATTTGCTATTTCAAAAAAAATTAGAGCTAGAGCTGATTTTTGTGGCGTGCAATCAAAGGGGTTTAGTGTATGCACTTTCTTCCTGTTTCAACTTCTAACCACAGCCTTAGGAATGGGAAGGTTCTAACTGAACATCATCTGCAGGAAGCATGGGTGATAGCACATCCCCAGGGCCTCTCACAATGCTGGTTTCAGTGTAGCTGATTTTAGGGAAAGCAGAGGTAAATCAGTCAGAATGAGAGAACAAAGAGGAGGGCTGCCTGTTCACAAAGAAACAACCCCGTCATACCACTCTTAACAATGAACACTAAAACAGATCATGACAGACACCACTTTAAGTGAGTCTTGGTATGCCCCTATTTCATGACAAACACCTGCTATTTCCAATTTCACTCACCAAGAAAAATCTCATTTGTCCCTAGAAGTTATGTGTAAGGCTTCTGAGCTGAAAACAAAAGCAAACGGGGAGGTTTGTTACTGTGACTTTCTGGATTAGGTAACTAAGAGGACAAAAGCTATCTGACCCCTGTCTGCATTAAAGTTCCCTGTCCACTTTGTCTCTCTCTCTTTTTTTTACTCCACCCCCGAACCCACTTTCTTCCTTTGTTCTTTAATAACAAATATTTCAAGCCTCTGGAAAGCCATGAATTCTGCCTTTGATATCCAGGCACTAGAGAGAGTCCTTAAAGAACCCGAGATTTTATAATAGGAAAATTTATAACCCACAATTTAAAAAAAGAAGTTTTGCATAACAAAATTCCAGGAAGTATGTGTTATTGACAACCTCAAATACAGCACAGACAAGGAATCTTTTAAAAAGTCTACCAAACTTGATAAAAAGTTTCTCTTATCAAAAGCACATTTATATGAAGGGAAGAAGGCAGTGAGCAGATAGGAAGTATAGGTTTGGAAGAGAAAAGGAGACATGGAAAAGTAGCTGGAAAAATCAAGCAACAATTTTTTTTTTTTTTTTTTTGAGACAGAGTTTCGCTCTTGTTGCCCAGGCTGGAGTGCAATGGCGTGATCTCAGCTCACCGCAACCTCCGCCTCCTGAGTTCAAGCGATTCTCCTGTCTCAGCCTCCCAAGTAGCTGAGATTACAGGCATGTGCTACCTTGCCCGGCTAATTTTGTATTTTTAGTAGAGACAGGGTTTCTCCACGTTGGTCAGGCTGGTCTCAAATTCCTGACCTCAGGTGATCTGCTCGCCTCAGCCTCCCAAAGTGCTGGGATTACAGGTGTGAGCCACCACACCCAGCCAATTTCTTTTTGCTTTTAAGCTAGGGAAGATCTGGACAGTTTGGAGGCAGAAGGGAAAGAGTTGCTGGAGGGGAAAAGGACAGGCAGGACTGGCTTCATGGGCATGTGACCTATGCAGTCAGCCACCCCAGGACCCTGCATTTGGTTTAATGCTCTGCTGGTTCTGAAAGGTATAAACCACTATGTGGTAGGCTGATTAATGACCCTCTATTTATAAATCCTCATCCTAATCTCTGGAACCTGTGAATATGTTATCCTATATGGCAAAAGGGACTGTGCAGATGTGATCAAGTTGAGGATTTTGAGATAGGATGGTCTGTAACCAATGTAATCACAAGGGTCCTTATACAAGAGAGACAGAAGAGTTAGGGTCACAAGAGAAGGCATGTGACGAGGGAAGCAGAGAGAGTGAAGGAGATGTGAAGTCATGAGGTAAGGAATGCAGGTGGCCTCTGGAAGCTGGAAAAGGTAAGGAAACACATTGTCCCTGAGAGCCTCCAAAAGGAACACAGCCCTACAGGTCCATTTTGGACACCTGATCTCCAGTACTATAAGGTAATGAATTTCTTTTGTTGTATGCAACTAAATGTGTGATAGTTTCTTACAGCATCAATGAGAAACTAATACACGCTACATAAACACAAGGGAGATGTATTACTCGTTTTGTAGAAATCAAAGGCATTAATAAAACTAATAGCAGTTACCATTTATTGAGTGCTTCCTAGGTGCTAGGCACTATACTCAGCTCTTTCTGTATCTAATCTTATGTAGCCCTAGAACAAGATATGAGGTGGGAATTAAGGCCCAATAACTAGCTAGAATGTTTTAGAGTTGGGATCTGCGCCCAATCTATGTCACTCTAAGTTTTTTTTTGTTTTACCCCATCCCCATATTTCATCATAAGCCTTTGGGTTTGTCTTCATTCTTTAGCATGCGTTATACTCGCACGTGTCAACCTAGGAGTCGGGCTGGGGCGGGGCAGGAGATGACATCCACATCTAGGGTGCATGAAATTAAAAAAGAGCCGAAGCCATCTCTACAAGTCACAGGTAGCTTACATAGGCACCCACAGCAGATGTGAGGCTACAGAAAAATGAATGAGACAAAGAATACGCTTCAGACCGAAAGTCAAAGATCCCGCACCGTCCGTTCCTAACTCGCCCGCGTACTGGGTGAATCCTAGAGCCTGGCGTCTGCGAGGACTCCAGGAGCGACAGCAGGGACCGACGCAGAGAGGTCCTCAGCCTGGTTTCCCGGAGAAGAGGTCGCCCCGCTTCCCCCGCCCGCACCCCCCGGTGTTTTGGAGGCCCGCGTGGTCCCGCCTCATTGGCCGCCGCGGAGCCCGAGGCCTCGGGGAGGCGGGGCGGCCTTCGCAGTTGTAGTTCCCGAGTCCTCTCGTTCAGCGGCTCCGCCTTCCTGCCGCGGCGCCTAGGCGACCGCCCAGGACCACAACTCCCACAAGGCCCCGCGCTTGGGGGCGTGGCCGAGGAGCCAAGCGAGCCGGGGGCGGGGCCGCCTGGGGGATGAAGTGGGGGCGCTCGCCTTTCCTGCCTCACTCGCAGCTGCCGGGTGTTGGGGAAAGAGTCGCCTGCCTCCGGACTGGAGTGCAGACCTCTGACCCTGGAGTCGCTCGGCCGCTGGGAACCGTCCCCTTGGGTCGTCGCCTGGGCCGCCCGTCGTTCCCCGGCCCCGAGGGGTCCGGCTGGCCGCGGTGTGGGTAGAGGTCAGCATGAGCCAAGGGGTCCGCCGGGCAGGCGCTGGGCAGGGGGTAGCGGCCGCGGTGCAGCTGCTGGTCACCCTGAGCTTCCTGCGGAGCGTCGTCGAGGCGCAGGTAAGCCCGAGTGATAGCGGGCCGGGAACCCCCGGCCGAACACCCGCGGCCGCTACACACGGGCCGCGGCTGTGACGCGGGGAGGGCCGGGCAGGGCCGGGCCAGAAAAGAGGTGATTTCTGGCGAGCAGAAAACCCGGGGAGCAGAGACCTGACCGTCCAGTGCGGGAAACATCTGCGAACCGCCCGCAGGGTGGGGGGACGGCGACACTCCGGGTAATGGCAGTCAAAAGAGGAAGATGGTGACGGTCCCCCTGAGCTGTTTTCGTTTTTTCCTCTCGGATGTGTTAAGCGGCTGGGAGTGTGGCGGGAGATGGGACGGGCATGAACCACCTCGGCTGTCTTGCGAAGGGAGCGAGCGCCCAGAGAAACGGTGACGTCCTTCCCTTCAGGAGTTAGTGAGGGAGGGAGACTGAGAGTTGGGGGCACTCCGCAGACCCCCGAGGCCCCGCCAGGCGCAGGGGATTGGGAGGGGGCAAGACTTCACTCGAACTGTCGGACTAGAGCTTTCTGGGCTTTTACTCTTCCTCGAGCACCTTCCCTTGCTCAAGATTGCTTTATTTTTACCCAGCTGAGCTGTGTCTGCCAAGTGGCATCGCCAGGTAAGTCCCAATACGAGACTGGGGGGGTCTGAGTGGGGCGTTGTGGCTCGTGGATGGAGGCTCTGGCTCTGGCAGTCGTGAGGTGCTGGCTGGTTGTTGATGTGAAGCGATGATTACAAGTGTTCTCAGTGTGCTAGAAATCTGAGGCTTAGCTGACCAGATCCTTTCGCCTTCAGAGAGGTGTTTGCTTCTATTCAGTAGAATTTGAATTGATTGCCAGGTGCTGCTGCTTGTTGTCTGCACCTGCTGCAAGGAGGCAGCACTGCTGAGGGCCAAAAAAATAAAACGAAGGTCTCAGGTGGCCTGATGATGAGGGGAGATGTCATTTGAAGCAATTAGTGCTCATCCAAGAAAAATTGAAGGTGACTCTGAGTGTAACCGTGAAAACATGTTTTTCTGAATTGAGTCACTTTATTTCATGGTTTTATGGTGCCCTGCACTAAATCCCAGAGTGCCTGAATAGTCCGTTTGTGTCTGTGTTTGAACCATAAAAATAAAAGGGGCAAATTTTTGGTATTGGGGAACATGTTAAAATGCAGATTCTCTGGCCCTACCTCCACATGTATTGATTGGATCTGGAATATGGCCCAGATATCAGCATTTTAAACAAACATTGCAAGTACAGTATAACTGTAGCAAAGTTATCTTTTGACTACCTCTTGGACCTCACTTGGAAAACACTGAGATGGAATAGATAGTGGTAATCTGGGCAGACTTACTAAAGTAAATTTTCCAAATTGTCTTTGGCAAAATTATTTTCTAGTCACTAGTTGAGTGTTTCTGAGTGAAATTTACAATTCGATATTTTTCTGAAATGAGAGTTCCCATTTTCTCTTTTTATATAGCACATATTAATTTATGCTTATCTGTCTAGAAACTTCATTTTAAATTTTTTTCATTTACCACTAATTATGTGTAATTAATGTTTTATAATTTCACCTGTATTTTTAAAATTCTTGTGTAGAGATGGGGACTATGTTATTAGGCTGATCTTCAACTCCTGGCCTCCAGCGAGCCTCTTACTTTGGCTTCCCAGGTGCTGGGATTACAGGTGTGAGCCACTGTACCTGGCCTGCCCCTGTACTTTTAATTTCATTATATCCAAATGAATATAAATATAGTCCAACAGTTAAAGATTTGTGAATATTTGAAGTAGCATTGTGCCAAACAGTCTTCCAAGTGAATATATTTGGTTTTTGTTGCCAGCAGTACTTACTTTCTTTTTTTTTTTTTTTTTGAGATAGTGTCTCACTCTGTTGGCCAGGCTGGATGCAATGGCATGTGTTGGCTCACTGCAACCTCTGCCTCACAGGTTCAAGCAATTCTGTCTGCCTCAGCTTCCCAAGTAGCTGGGATTACAGGTGCTTGCCACCGCGCCTGGCTAATTTTTGTGTGTGTGTTTTTTTTTTTTTTCCCAGTAGACAGGGTTTTGCCATGTTGGCCGAGCTGGTCTTGAACTCCTGACCTAAGGTGATCCGCCTGCCTCGGCCTCCCAAAGTGCTGGGATTACAGGCGTGAGCCACCGCGCCCAGGCCGCCAGCAGTACTTTCTACTGTGCTGTTTTTTTTTTTTTTTTGAGATGGAGTCTCGCTCTGTGTCACCCAGACTGGAGTGCGGTGGCGCCATCTTGGCTCAGTGCAGCCTCCACCTCCTGGGTTCAAGTGATTCTTCTGTCTCAGCCTCCCGAGTAACTGGGACTATAGGTGTGTGCCACCACACACGGCTAATTTTGTATTTTTTAGTAGAGATGAGGTTTCACCATGTTGGCCAGGCTGGTCTCGAACTCCTGACCATAGGTAATCCACCCGCCTTGGCCTCCCAAAGTGCTGGGATTACAGGCGTGAGCCACCGTGCCTGGCCTGATCATCTTTTAGATAGTACTTTAATCTATAACATGGTTACACGTACAATCTCTCCGAAGTGGGACCATTGAGGTAATTGAAGTTCAAAGAACTTAAATGTCTTAATTGAATGAGTGACTTTACAGTGGAGCCCTAATGTGGAACCCTTTCTGGTCTATACAGTATGTTGGTATTTTCAGTTCTCTCTAGTATAGAAAAAGAGATGGAAAATAGGAAAATCAAAAAGTGGAATTCAGCCAGTTCTTTGACTTCATCCATATAATAAATTGGTAGAAAACTGATAAAGGGAAGAATTAGAATTTTTGAAAACTACCTCTGTTCACAAGAAATCAAAGTCATTAAAGGAGATACATATTTTAAATGTTATCCCCTTCCAAAATAAAAGCAGAAAAATATTTTTGAACACACAAAATGATACGTGTTTGTATATCTCATGCCCCATTATCGTATAAATGAAATGTAAATATACTTTGGTGAAGCACTGGAAACTAAAGGCATAGTGCATACAAGTGATATAACAATCTTCCTTTAAAAAGTAATTTCAATTAGATATATGTAAGTTTTTCTAAATGCATTTCTGAGGTGGCATAAAATTGAGTAATACACAGAGCCCCTCAATATATGAAAAGCCAGAAACTTAGAACTTAAATAGTGCTATACCAGTCCGTTACTCTGAGGGCTTCTCCTAAACCCTAAAGATCTTGAGCTGCTTTAGCAGTTGCATGGAGTGGAGTGGGCAAGAAATAACCCCGTGTCTGCCCAGTGAGAGGAAACTAATAGGAGCCTCCACCATAATTCATTTCTCGTTTACCCTTATATTGAGGATGTAGCTGTTTGGAGCCTGGACTTCAAACAATTACATCCTCAGTATAAGGGTAAACGAGAAATGAAACCCATTCTAAGTAAAGGGAATAAAAGAAACTTGCTGGGAGAAGCAGGGAAGAAACTTTTGAGAATTTGTAACCATGAGACAGTCCTCACACAGGTTCGCAAGCCAAATATTTATTCTGGGAAAATTCATAGCAGTCCCAAATTTGTGTGCCCTGGGTTTCCAATAAAAGCAAATATCCATCACCTCTGGAGGAATTTATTTTCAACTCAAACCTCGAAAAATTATTGAAGATGAAGTGCCAAGGAGAATAAACAGCTAGCAGTAAAATATCACAAAACACCCAAGGAAACAGGGCACCATGAATCAGATATTAGACAACAGAAACAAACACATAATGACCTTAGGTTCTGAAATTATCAGATAATTTAATATCACTATGTTTAATGTGTTCAAATAAAAAGAAACTTGAAGTATAGAAGGGAAAAAAGATTTTAAAGAGTGGCCAAAAAGATTTTAATAATAATGAATTAGAAGTTCTAGAACTGAAATTTAAAACTCGATGGATAGATTAAATAGCTGATCATATCCAGCTGAAGAAATGATTATTGAATTAGACAACCATTTCATGTCTTTTTTCTTTCTCCTTAATTCTCCATCACCTTTTCATCTATCCTTACTCTCAGTTCATACCTTACTAAAATTGGAGCAATCAGAAGAGAAATTCCACAGAGTAACCCATATCTATCCATTTACTAGTCTCTGTACCCACATATTTTGACTTCCTGTTGGTTACCATTGATGAACTGTGTGCTTTTATCAAAGGCAGCCCCTTCACTTGTATGTTAGGTCTCATTCCTTGTTTGCCGCTCATGGACATGGCTCCAGTAATCTTCTCTTTCTTTCCTGGATCATCAGTTTTTCCTTCTCAAATGGAATTTTACTGTCATCATGTATTAGTCCATTCTTTTTTTTTTTTTTTTCCTGGAGTAGAGTCTCGCTCTGTCACCCAGGCTGGAGAGCAGTGGCTCGATCTCAGTTCACTGCAACCTCTGTCTCCCAGGCTCAAGCAATTCTTATGCCTCAGCCTCCCAAGTAGCTGGGATTACAAGCTCCTGCCACAACGCCCAGCTAATTTTTGTATTTTTAGTAGAGATGGGGTTTTGCCATGTTGGCCAGGCTGGTCTCAAATTCCTGACCTCAAGTGATCTGCCTGCCTTGGCCTCCCAAAGTGCTGGGATTACAGGCGTGAGCCACTGTGCCTGGCTTAGTCCATTCTTGTATTGCTGTAAAGAACTGCCTGAGACTGGGTAATTTTTAAAGAAAAGAGATTTAATTGACTCACAGCTGTACAGGAAGCATGGCTGGCGAGGCCTCAGGAAACTTACAATCGGGGAAGTGCTGCACACTTTTAAACAACCAGATCTCATGAGAGCTCACTATCAGGAGAACAGCAAGGGGGAAGTCCGCCCCCATGATTCAAACACCTCCCACCAGGCCCCTCCCCAACACTGGGGATTATAATTTGACATGAGATTTGAGTGAAGAGATAAAGCCAGACTATATATCATAAAACATGCTGCTAATTCTACTGTTTTAAAGTTATCTTTTCATCCACATATTCCTTCTGCCTTTGCCTATTTTTTCTGTTCCCTCTAGAAAATTCAAGAGTTAGATTTAATTTATTCTTCCTTTGCTGGTTCTTCTATTTTTCAGCCCATTCTAATCAGACTTTTGCTCCTACCGCACCTCTGAAACTGCTCTTGGCAAGGTCGCCGATGTCCTCCTTGTTGCTAAGGCCAACGGTTTGTTCTTAAACCTCAGCTTTACCTGTTGGCGGCATTTTTTCACAACTCATCACTCACTCTCCTTGAAATAATTTTTATTCTGACATCCTGGATACTAAACTTTTCTGATTGTCTTCCTGTCTAGTGGACCAGTCTGTCTTAGCATTCTTTCTTTGTTCCTCCCCTGCCATTGACTGCTAATCATTTGAACCTCAGGGTTCAAAGCTTGTACTCTTTCTTCTCTTTATCTTAGTCATCTCTTCTGGTCTCTTAGCTTTAAATACCAAATGTACAGTGGACTCTCAGTGTTAGTCTCCAAGACTAGGATTCTCAGCTTTAGATCTATGTATCCAACTTCTTTTTGGACATCTCCACTTGGAGGATTAATAGATATCACAAACTTGATATAGAAACCACATTTCTGATCTTTTCCCCCAAATCTGCTTTTTCCACAGTCTTCCCCCCTTATACATAAGCTCCAGCCAAATTGGCCTGCCTGTTGTTCTTAAACATGGCAGATACATTCTTGCCTGAAAGCCTTTGTACTGTTTCTTCTACCTAGCACACACTTTTCTCGTGTATTCATATGATTCACTCTGTTAGATTTCTGCTAAAGTGTCACTTTATCTGACATCTCTTGTCTTAAATGTCCCTGACCACACAAATATAAAAGAGAAACATTCTATCCTCACCAAATTCCTGTCACCCTTTGCTTAAAACTCCCCATTGGCTTCCTGTCTCACATGGTGTCATCCAAAAATATATTTGGTCTTTATTTCTGATTGCTGACATAGAGCCCTTTAAAACCCTTGGAATTTGAGTCATAGGAGTGCCTTTTGTTACTCATAATGAGCCCCTTTCAATCACACTTGTGTTTATAGTAATGAAATGACTTAAGACGGGGACCCTACATAGATAGCCTCAGGATTGGGGGCTGGTCACCACAAAGACCCAAGTGATTAGAAAGTTGAAACTTTTGGCCCCACCAATCTGCAGGAAGGGGAGAGGTGGGTGCTGGAGATTTAGCTCCGTAAGAACTCTTGAACAACTTGATTTGATGAGCTTCCGGGTTGGGGAATACATTGACTTATTGGGAGGGTGGCATGTTGAGAGAGGCACGGAGGCTCTGCACATCCCTCTGCCTTAGTAGCTTGCCCAATGCATCTCTTCCATTTGGTTATTACTGAGTTGTATCCTTTATAATTGATAACTGTAAGTAAAGTGTCTTTCTGAGTTCTGTGAGCCATTCTGGCAAATTATCAAACCTGCAATGGAAGTGCTAGGAACCCACAATTGATAGCCAGTCAGAAGAACAAGTGGCTCAGGACCTGAGATTTGTGTCAGGAGTGGGGCCATCTTGTGGGACTCAGCCCTTAATTTGTAGGTCTGCACTGATGGTGGATAGTGTCAGAATTGAATTGTTGGACACCACCCAGTTGGTCTCAGAGTTGGAGAATTGGTTGGTGTGAGAAAATAACTCAGATTCAGTAAAAGCTAAAATCTTATAGTGGTCTAATTCTCCTTCTTGCCTATTGTATAGTCCTCCTTATTCCTCAAAAACATGGGGCAAGCTTACTGCATTAGGATCTTTGCACTCACTCCCAATGCCTGGAATGCTGTCCCCCCAGATACCTGCATGTCTTGCTCCTTGCCAAAATTTCATGACACCTTCTGTAACTGTCCTATTTTAAATGGTTAGCAGCCCCAGTTCTGCAGTCTGTTTCCAGTCCTTAGTTTTATCTATATCACTTTATTACCATCTGACATTCTGTACTTTGTTCATTCATTTTGCACCCCCTTTTCCCTATGAGAATGTAAACTCCTTGAGGGCAGAGATTTTTGTCTGTCTTTTTTTTTTCTTCTAATTTTATATCCCCAGCACTTAAAGCAGTGCAAATCTTATGTTGGGCCTCAGTAAATAGGCTGAATTAATGAATAAGTGAATGGAAGATAGATGCAAATAAATTATTCAGAATGAAATCTAAAGAGACAATGGGATAATAAATATTAAAGAGAACTTAAGATACCTGGAGAATAGAGTGAGAATGTCTAATACATCTAATTGGAGTTCTAAAAGAATATAATAGAATAGGGAAGAAGCAGTATTGATTTCTGCAGATGAGTATGAAGAAGATAACCTAACAGAAAAGTGAATCAAAGATATAAATAGACATTTTACACAAGAAGAAATATAAATGTGTCATAAAACATATGAACATTGTACCTTCTTAGTGCAAATAAGAAAAAAGATAATCTTTCATGCTAACTAGATTGGCAAAAATTAAAGCATAGATTAATATTAAATATTGATGAGGATATGGGCTGGCACAGTGGCTCACACCTGCAATCCCAGCACTTTGAGAGGCTGAGGCAGGCGGATCACTGGAGGCCAGGAGTTTGAGACCAGCCTGGCCAACATGGTGAAACGCTGTCTCTACTAAAAATACAAAAATTAGCTGGGCATGGTGGCATGTGCCTGTAGTCCCAGCTACTCGGGAGGCTGAGGCACGAGAATCACTTGAACCCAGGAAGCGGAGGTTTCAGTGAGCCAAGACTGTGATCCTGCGCTCTTGCTTGGGTGACAGAGTGAGACTCTGTCTCAAAAAAAAAAAAAAAAAAAAATAGG
Source organism: Homo sapiens (assembly GCF_000001405.40). NCBI lineage: Eukaryota > Metazoa > Chordata > Mammalia > Primates > Hominidae > Homo > Homo sapiens. Next base: position 236,273,976 of record NC_000001.11, on the reverse strand, counting down.
ATATGGCTCAACAGTAAGTCCCATTCATTGTTGAGGGGCTGATAAATTGGTAAAACTGTTTTGGAAATCATTTTGCCATTTCCTGAAAAAGCTGAACATATACTTTCAGCGGTTCTATTCCTAAGCATATAACCTGGAGAAACTCTTTTTTTTTTTTTTTTTTTTTCTTTTGAGACAAGGTCTCGCTCTTTTCCCCAAGCTGGAGTGCAGTGGTGTGATTTTGGCTCACTGCAACCTCGACCCCCTGAGTTCAGGTGATCCTCCCATCTCAGCCTCTTGAGTAGCTGGGACTACAGATGCTCACCACCAGACCTGGCTAATTTTTGTACTTTTGTAGAGACAGGGTTTTGCCATGTTGCCCAGGCTGGACTCAATTCTCCTGTGTCCGCCTCCCAAAGTGCTAAGATTACAGGTGTGAGTCATTGTGCCTGGCCCAACCTGGAGAAACTCTTGCATGTGTTTTTACACCAGAATATGTGCCCAGAAACATTTGTGTAGCAATGTTCTTTAGCCAAATCTGAAAACAATCTAAATTTGGATTGTGGTAATTTTCTATTGCTGTTGTGACAAATTGCCACAAATATAATGACTTAAAAACAATATAAATTTATTATGCTGTAGTTCTGGGGGCCAGAATTCTGAAAATGGGATTTACAGGGTTAAAATCAAGATGTCAGCAAGGTTGCATTTCCTTCTGGAGGCTTCTTTTCAAGCTTCTAGGTATTGTCATGATTTTTGGCTTATGACCTCTTTATTCCTTCATCTTCAGAGCCAGCAGTATAGCATCTTCCAGTCTCTCTCTGACTCTGACACTCCCGCCTTCCTCTCTCATAAAGAACTCATCTCACCTGAATAATCCAGTATACCCCTTCCATCTCAAGATCCTCAAATTAATCACATCTTTGAAGTCCCCTTTGCCATGCAAAAATAATATATTTGCTTATTTCAGGAATTAGGGACATCTTGGGGGTGGGGCATTCTGTCTACTGTATGCATCAAGAGTAGAATGGATAAATTATGATATTCTAATAAAATGTAACACTTGCAACAGGGAAAATGAATGAGGTGCTACAAACCTCATCATCATAGATGCCATAATAACGTGTTAACAAAAGAGGCACATCACAGAAAAATTCACACATTAGATTCCATTAATATTAAAGTTCAAAAATGGGGGAAAAAAACCTCAAGCATATTGTTTAGGGATGCATTACCAGAAAAGGAAAAACTGATAACAAAAACAATATTTATTTCTACCTTTAGGGAGAGGGAGGTAGATGTAATTAAAGAGGAGCTTAAAGGATACTGGCAGTATTTATTTTTATTTTTTATTTTTTTCCTAAGTTTCAGGGGGTACATGTGCAGGTTTGTTACATGGGTATAGGGAATTTTTCAGCTCTTGTCCCCCTCTTTCCTCACCTTTTGGGGTCCCCAGTGTTGTTTCCTTCCTTATGTTCATGTATACTCAGTGTTAGCTCCCACTTACAAGTGAGAACATGCAGTATTTGATTTTCTGCTTTTGCATTAATTCACTTAGGATAATGGCCTCCAGCTGCATCCATGTTGCTGCAAAGGACATTATTTCATTTTTTTAAAATGGCTACTTAGTATTCCATGGTGTACATAGACCACATTTTCTTTATTCCATCCACCGTTGATGGGTACTTGACTACGTGATGATTGCACGACTTCAGTACTGTGAATAGTGCCGTGATAAACGTTCAAGTGCAGGTGTCTTTTTGATATAATGATTTCCTTTGGGTAGATAGATGCCCGGTAGTGGGATTGCAGGGTCAAATGATGGTTCTACTTTTAGTTCTTTGATAAATCTCCATATTGTTTTTCATAGGTGTTGAACTAATTTGCATTCCCACTAACAGTGTATAAGCATTCCCTTTTTTCCACATCCTTGCCAACATCTGTTTTTTTGTTTTACTTTTTAATATGATACTGGCAGTATTTAAAAAGTTTTTGGTGATACACAGGTTTCTGTCTCAGTAGTCTTTTAAAGGTTACAAATATGTACATGGCAACTTTGTTAACCCATCCCCTACCACAATTAAAATGTTTTAAAGAAGTAAAATATGGTGCTTTATAAACTAAAAGTCAACAATTTAAGAAAAATTTATAAGAAAGAACAAAAAAACTCAAGCATATTGTTTAGGGCTGCATTACCAGAAAAGGAAAAATTGATAACAAAACAAAAACAAGATTTATTTCTACCTTTAGGGAGAGGGAGGTAGATGTAATTAAAGAGGAGCTTAAAGGACACTGGCAGTATTTATTTTGTTATTTAATTATATATTATATATAAAAAACAATCACTAGATAAAATATTTTTAAAACCTAGGGAGCTTTTTGGTTTGTATTTTTTTCCTATTTAGGGGCTATGATTTGAAGTCTTTACAAACATATTTCAGACTGGCTGGGGAGGAAGGAAAAAATAGAACTCGCAGTCTTGTAAGTAGTAAGTGAGAGCAATGGAATGAAATTTGGGAGTTAGTGACAGGATCCTAGTGAGTCGGACAGCAAAGTAAATGTAACTCTAGAGCCAAAATTCTTGGTAATGATCATTTATCTCAAGATAATATAGCCCTAACTCTGTTGAAGGGAGTCTGGGGACACATTTATACTCCTAGGGAGAGAGAATGAGAATGAAACAGCTTGCAAGGACTGGTTTCCATTTTCTGATCATTACTTGCATATATTCCTCCTATGGACCATATAAATAACCTTTAACAGGCTGAGACCCATTTTTTGTTTTTTTGAAAATTTTGGTTGTTAGTTCATATGGAGTTGCAAGAAATAACACAGAAATCCCATATACTCTTTATCTATTTATCCCAATGGTAACATCCTGTAAACATGTAGTACAGTGTTATAATTGGGACATTGACAGTGATAGAATCTACTGATCTTGTTCAGATTCTCCCAGTTTTACTTGTTTTGTTTGTATGTGTATGTATTAGTTCCATATAATTTTATCACATACATAGGTTCATGTGTTCACCATCACAGTCAAAATACTGAACAGTTTTGTCACCACAAATATTGCTTCTGTTGCCCTTTTATAACCACACTATTTCCTTCCTACCCTACCTACCCCATCATCCATCCCCTACCCCAGTCCCTAATCCCTGGCAACAAATGATATGCTTTCCATTTCTAAAATTTTTTCATTTAAAAAGTGTTCTGTAAATGGAATCATATAGTGTGTAACCTTTTGGCTTGGCTTTTTCATTCAGGATAATTCCTGGAAGATAAATCCAGGTTGTGCATATCAGTCAATGAGTTCCATTTTTAATTTAGCCAAAGATTGTTTTATGGAATTTTGGGACTCTAAATTCACTTTGTAAATACCAATTTCTCTTCTTGGATTAGCAAATAATCTTTGAATAGTGGATAAGATCATTGATTTTAAAGTCTGATAGATTGGGAATAAGTTCCATTTCTACTTTGGAAAAATTAAGGTTGCTAAACCTTAATTTCCTTATATGTAATATGAAGATTATAATACCTCATTCATGAAATACTTTTAAAGAGGAAATGAGATAATATAAAGCTCTTAATACTGTGCCTGTCATGTAAGTGTTCCATAAATGGCCACCTAAAGGAAAGATAAAAGACATGGGTTACTACAGCAATATTATTACAGTCTGTAACTTCTAGGTTAGTTTGGGAAGATATTGCTTTGGTATTCCAGTGGCCACTTGGATTTCATATATGTTTAAGTAGAGGAAGGAGAATTCAATACTCTTCAAGTGCTAAAGAGAAATGTTCTTCCAAATGGGTATAGCTAATCTTTCTATTGTTTTTTATCTCATTGGCCACAGTAAAAAGTAAGTTGACTGCTTTAATGTTATATCTTAATCAGCAAGTACCGGCTAACTTGAATGAATAAATTACATTTTTATATAATAGTGTAGATTTGTTAAGGTTGAAACATCAGTAGTTTACATATTTTAAATTATATAAATTCTAGGTCACTGGAGTTCTGGATGATTGCTTGTGTGATATTGACAGCATCGATAACTTCAATACCTACAAAATCTTCCCCAAAATAAAAAAATTGCAAGAGAGAGACTATTTTCGTTATTACAAGGTAAGGTTGTAATTTTTTATTCTGTTGATATCAAAGGTATTATATGTGACCTTTATGATCCTTTTGAAAGCCCATTTCAGTTCCTCTCAGCACCTTGTGTATATCTTTCATCACTGAATTTATTATGTATTGCAGTGGAAACCTATTGATCTTTTTAAACAGTACAAATCTTAGCCCCCTTCCTTTGTATGGGGAGTTCCTCATTTTTCAGTTTTGGTTTTTAGGCAGAGACTACTGTCTCTATAGAAGCTGAAAATGCCACAGACTTACTTTGTCAGCCTCTCTTATAACATAGTTCTGCCATCTGGACACACCTACTCAGCCTTTGAGTTGTGCTGATGTCAGTGTGCTAGCATTGTTAGTGGAAAGGACCACAGCAGCATCTTTGTTGGACCTCTTTCTGAGAGGGCTGGCAAAACAGGCTGAGGCTCCAAGTAGACCACTACCGACAGTGATGCTCCAGAATTGGTTCTTAAATCTAGTAATAGTCTACTCTAGACCTTTACAAAATAACCGGTGATACTTTAAAGGCAGCAGCAATCTTTAAATATAGCAGTAAGGCAATATTCAAAAGAACAGTGTTTTAAATTTTAGAACAACATTTTATTTTATTTTATTTTTTATTATTCTTACTATTTTTGAGATGAAGTCTCGCTCTGTCACCCAGGCTGAAGTGCAGTGGCACAATCTCAGCTCACTGCAACCTCCGCCTCCTGGCTTCAAGCGATTCTTCTGCTTCAGCCTTCTGAGTAGCTGGGATTACAGGCGCCCGCCACCACACCCAGCTAGTTTTTGTATTTTTAGTACAGACTGGGTTTTGCCATATTGGCCAGGCTGGTCTCAAACTCCTGATCTCAGGTCATCCACCTGCCTCAGCCTCCCAAAGTGCTGGGATTACAGGTGTGAGTCACTGTGCCCGGCCTAAATATATGTATTTTGTTATTTAATAATATATATATGTTTTTGTTTTTGCTTTTATTTTTTCTCTCGAGACAGAGTCTCACTCCGTCGCCCAGGCTGGAGTGCAGTGGCGCGATCTCGGCTCACTGCAAGCTCTACTTCCCAGGTTCACACCATTCTCCTGCCTCAGGCTCCCGAGTAGCTGGGACTACAGGCACCTGCCACCACGCACGGCTAATATTTTGTATTTTTAGTAGAGACGGGGTTTCACCATGTTAGCCAGGATGGTCTTGATCTCCTGACCTTGTGATCCGCCCGCCTTGGCCTCCCAAAGTGCTGGGATTACAGGCGTGAGCCACCGCGCCCGGCCTTGTTTTTGCTTTTTTTAGAGACAGGGTCTTGCCATGTTTGCCCAGGCCGATCTCAAATTCCTGGCTTCAAGTGATCTATCGATTGATCAATCTATCTATCTATCCATGTGTCTTTTTGTTTTCTAGGCTTACGTCAGCTAAATTAATTTTTTTTTGTTTTTTTTTAGACAGGGTCTCGCTCTGTCGCCCAGACTGGAGTGCAGTGGCTCCATCTCAGTTCACTGCAACCTCCGCCTCCTGGCTTCAAGCGATTCTTCTGCCTCAGCCTCCCGAGTAGCTGGGATTACAGGCGCCCACCACCACGCCTGGCTAATTTTTGTATTTTTAGTAGAGACGAGGTTTCACCATGTTGGCTAGGCTGGTCAAATTAAATATTTTTGATGATTAAAAACTAGTATCTTGTGCAGAAATATAACAAATAAGAGAATTAAAGATTTGGGAACACATCTCTCTTATCAGCACCAGGAACATCCAAAAAAGGTGATGTATGTTTCTCCTCTGTACAAAATCCTTTAGGAAAGCATATTTCATGAATTTATTTCAAAGAGTAATCTATACCTAAATAGACTATTGAGTGTCTGTTACTCTAGGCATTTTACATATGAATAAGACATGTGCTTCTTTCATTTTTTTTTTTTTCCCCCGGAGGGGTGCACCGTTCCTGAAGTACTGCAATACCAGGTCGATGCGAGGAGTGGATGGAGCAAGCTCCTATTCCATCTCCCTACTCCAAAAATCCATGTAATATATTGTTCTCGGGTAGAGGACATATCAGGTATTAACAGATACTTCACTTGATCTTAGCCAAAAGGCCGAGAAGCCATTGGAGAGACAGGTGCTTCTTTAAATTTCCACCACTAAATCTATAAATCTAAGTGCATTTGTAGCTGCTTTCTCTTGTTTCTTTTCTACCATAACATTGAACTATATGAAATTTTTACTTTTATATTTCAAAAATGGTTGAACATGCCAGTTTCATATTGCTCAATGTAATACAGTGGGGGAAGTGTTTCTTGTATCAAAAACCATCTCTTCACAAGTGGTCCAGTTCACATCTCTACATAATGTTATGTCCCTCACTCTTTCACTCCTTCACTTTGGGTTTGTATCTTGTGTTTCTCTATCCCTAGCAGGCTTGGTCAGTAGAAGTACTCAAATATTTGAATGTTTGAATGAATATCTCGTTTAATCTTCACACCAAAATTTTCTCAATATTAGTCACATTTTTCAAATGAAAAAGTAATAGTTTAGGTATTCCAGGTAGGGTATTTTTGTTGGCTAACAAACAAAACAGAAGTTTTATTAAGAAAAGATATGAAGTAGCTAACAAAATTGAAAGACAAGCTGAGGAAACATACTTCAGAAAAGATAAAACTAAAGCTGGAACTAATGACCATTTCCTTTAAGGAACCACTGGGATTTTGTATCAAATTAACTATTTTCCCATATTTTCCAAACTTTATGTAAGAGTTATATTTCTGTCCAGGTACGGTCATATGACCTGTTGGACCAAAAGAAGGAAGGACACCTTGGTTGACAGTCTCATTTGCATGAGTAAAAGTGGAGTCATTGTTTCCCAAAGGGAAATTAGGGACTGTTACAAAAGAAGGAATAATGGAACTTGGATAGGCAAAAGTGACAATGTGGTTCTTGGCTACTCAACAATCTGATTCTTCCTCTTACACATGCAGTTTAAAAATGTTCTGATCAACACAGTGAAATTATTCCATATGAAACCAAAACATGCTCATACCCTCTCACAGAGGAGGGTTAATGCCATGATCTAGTTAATGCATTCAGCTCTAACTCTAGGATATTTGGGTGATATCTATGCCTCTTTTTGTTCTGTCAGCCTATAAAAGAAATAAGAAGGAATATACTCTACTCAATATACTCTACCTACAACAGTGGCAAAGAAAGGAAAGCTTTAAAAAGAAAAAGCTAAGAGAAAAGGTTAATTTAACTTATTATTATTTTTTAATTTTAATTTTTTTTTTTTTGAGACAGAGTCTTGCTCTGTTGCCCAGGCTGGAGTGCAGTGGTACGATCTTGGTTCACTGCAACCTCAGCCTCCCAGGTTCAAGTGATTCTCCTGCCTCAGCCTCCTGAGTAGCTGGGACTACAGGCCCACACCACTACACCCGGCTAATTTTTATATTTTTAGTAGATACGGGGTTTCACCATGTTGGCCAGGCTGGTCCGCAACTCCTGATCTCAGGTGATCCACCCGCCTTGGCCTCCCAAAGTGCTGGGATTACAGGCGTGAGCCACCATGCCCAACCAAAAAGAAGTTAATTTTAAACACATGATTCAACAAGCAAGGAATACAGGTGGAGGTAACAGTCTGCCTTTATGCAGTTGGGCAGTTGGCTGCTGTAGCTGGTATTTCTAACTTCTCTTTTTTACTTCTTATTCCTTTCCTTTATGCAGTAAATATTTATTGAATGATTAGTTTGTGTCAGGTACTATGGATACAGTAGTGAATAAGACAAAACTTTTCTGATAAGAGAGACAAACAATAAACAAGTAAACAATAAAATATAATTTCAGATGCTTATAAGGTAAATTCTATGGAGAAAAGTAAAGTAGGAGAGAATGAATATTGGGGAATTGGAGGGTGGGAGAGGTAGGTAGCCCTACATTAGAGAAAGTATTTGGGAAAATAAGGTATTTATGCTAATGTAACATTTGAGCAAAGTCCTACCTAATGTGAAAGAGCCATGAGAAGGTTTGGGGAAAGAACATGCCAGGGAAAAGATGTAGAATACCAAGTAAATGGTCTTGAGATAGAAATAAGCTTGGTGTGTTGAATAGGCAGAAAGCTGGTATAGCTGGAGTGAACGAGAGGGAGAGTTGGAAATATAGGTAGGCACCAGATTTAAAAAACAGTAGGACCGTATTGACCATGTAAGGATGCTGGATTTTATTTTAAGCAGGATAAGAAACTACTGAAGGGATTTTTGTGCAAAAAAGACTGTAAGGGTAGAAGACAAGAAATAGAGGAACCATTTAGGAGACTCTTGTGTTAGTTCAGATAAAAACAATACAGATTTGCAATAGAATGCTGCAGCTGAAAAATGTAGAAAATGATCAAATTAGGGTTGTACACAAAAGGCAACACCAGCAAGCTTTTCTGATGAATTGAGTGTGACGTATGATATAGAAATGAAATCAAGGATGATGCCTAAGTTTTGAGTGCACATATACAAGCACAAATGTACATATATGTAAAATCATGACCAAATAGATTTTATTCCAAGAATGCAAGGATGATTCTTGCATTGATGTTGATAATCATCAAAATTCAATATGTGCTCCTGATTTTTAAAATAATAAGAATGATGTATATTTCTTAACATGATGATTTCAGTCCTAACATCAGCATAGCTAACACGTCTTGCATATGGGGAAACACTAGAGGAATTCTCACTTAGGTCAGGAACCAAGACAAGGATACCCACTATCTGCATTAACTGTTGGATATACTACCCAGCACAGTCAAATAAGAAAAAAACAACTATCCAGTGTGATGGCTCTGATTTAAAAAAAAAAAAAAGAGAAAAAAATAACTAGAGCCATAAAATTTTATTTTACTTTTTTGTGTATAAATTTAAGGGGTACAAGTGCAGTTTTGTTACATGGATATATTGCCTAGTGGTGAAGCCTGGGCCTTTAATGGAACCATCGCCCGGATAGTGTGCATTGTACCCCTTATGAAATTTCTCATCCCTTACTCCCCTCCCACCCTTCTTTTTTTTTGGAGACAGTCTCACCTTTGTTGCCCAAGCTGGAGTGCTGTGGTGTGATCTCGACTCACTGCAATCTCCACCTCCTGGGTTCAAGTGATTCTCCTGCCTCAGGGCTCCCAAGTAGCTGGGACTACAGGTGTGTGCCACCATGCCTGGCTAATTTTTATATTTATAGTAGAGATGGGGTTTCACCATGTTGGCCAGGTTGGTCTTGAACTCCTGATCTCAAGTGATCTGCCCACCTTGGCCTCTCAAAGTGCTAGGATGATATGCATGAGCCACCATGCCTGGCCCACCCCACCCTTCTGAGTCTCCAGTGACTATTACTCCACATTCTATGCCCATGTGTACACATTATTTACCTCCTACTAATAAGTGACAATGGAGAGGCATACAGATTTTAAAGGAATAAGTATAACTATTTCCATTTATAAATGAAAAAAGTTGTCTGGGCATGGTGGCTTCTGCCTGTAATCCCGGCACGCTGGGAGGCTGAGGCAAGTGGATCAGTTGAGGCCAGGAGTTCGAGACTAGTCTGGTCAACATGGCAGAACCCTGTCTCCACTAAAAATACAAGAAACTAGCTGGGCATGGTGGCGTGTGCCTGTAATTCCAGCTACTGGTTGGGGGGCAGGCAGAGGCATGAGAATTGCTTGAACCCAGGAGGTAGAGGTTGCAGTGAGCCAAGATCACGCCACTGCACTCCAGCCTGGGTGACAGCGAGACTCTGTCTCAAAAATAAGAAAATGTAGTTATATGAAAAAAGTTATATGTAAAAAATGCAAAAGAATCAATAATAAAAACAATAAAACATATGTTAATATAGCAAGCCATAAACTTGATATACAAAAAGTCAATATCTTCATAAATGTAAATAATAACCATTTAGAAGTTATAACAGAAAGGAAACCACCATTTACATTAGCAATGAAGCCAGGCATGGTGGTGCATGCCTGTAGTCCCAGCTACTTGGGAGACTTAGCTGGAAGTATCGCTTGAGCCCAGGAGGTTGAGACAAGCCTAGGCAACATAGCGATACTACTGACTCAAAAAAAAAAAAAAAAAAAAAAAAAAAAGCAAACAAAATAAAACAAAAAATATATTAGCGATAAAACAGATAAGATATATAGGAATAAGTACATCAAGAAGTATGCAAAACCTAAAGGAGGAAAGCTTTAAAACATTCTTGAAAGACACAAAAGTAGATTTGAACAAATGGAAAGATATCCTTTGTAGCCTAACAATTTTAATTCGCCCCTAGTTAATATGTAAATTTAATGTGATCCTAATAAAAATACTGAATTTTGGCCTGGTGCAGTGGATCACACCTGTAATCCAAGCACTTTGGGAGCTGAGGTGGGTGCATCACTTGAGGTCAGGAGTTCGAGACCCGCCTGGCCAACCTAGTGAAACCCCATCTCTACTAAAAATACAAAAAATTAGCCAGGCGTGGTGGAGTGTGCTTGTAATCCCAGCTACTTGGGAGGCTGAGGTGGGAGAATCGTTTGAACCTGGGAGGTGGAAGTTGCTGTGAGCCGAGATCATGCCACTGCACTCCAGCCTGGGTGACAGAGCAAGACTTCATCTCAAAAACAACAACAACAACAACAAAACTGAAGTTTTTGTTTATTTTCCTGGAGCTAGACAAGTTGTCACAGGTTAGGTTCTCTGGGAAGCATATGCTGAGACAGTGATAAGTGTACAAGAGCTTAGTTAGGGTATACTCTTGGGAACAACAGTTTGGGGAAGGCAGGGAATCAGGATTGGGCAAAGGGAGATGTCAAGCTGTGATGCAGCCTCAGTGGAAACCTCAGGTAAGCCTGTGGGGAATTCTTAAGATGGAATAACCCTTCCGAGTTAGTCGTCCCCATTTGGCACGAGAGGTATAGGCCTTTATATCTCTCCATCAGTTGGTCATTGGATGAAGGCCACCAGAGGAAATAAGGATCCAATCTTGGGTAAGGTGGTTCTTTTCACCCAAGCTTGTCTACCTGCAGCATTTCCACAACTGAGGTAATTACATCCCCTTTATTCCTGAAGGGTGATCTGAGTAGTATGTTACAGTGTCTACCACAGTCCACTCGTTGCACCATGTATTTCTGTTGCTGAATTAAAAAATTAGCTTTAAATTTAGCAGCTTAAAACAGCAGGGCTGGGCATGGTGGCTCACGCTCGTAATCCCAGCACTTTGGGAGGCCGAGGCTAGTGGATCATTTGAGGTCAGGAGTTCAAGACCAGCCTGGCCAACATGGTGAAACCCCATCTCTACTAAAAATACAAAAAAAAAATTAGGCAGTAGTGATGTGCAACTGTAATCCCAGCTACTTGGGAGGCTGAGGCAGGAGAATCACTTGAGCCTGGGAGGCAGAGGTTGTGGTGAACTGAGGTTGCATCACTGCACTCCAGCCTGGGCGACAGAGTGAGACCCTGTCTCAAAAAAACAAACAAAAAAAGACTGAAAAGATGCCATTTCAGGAAGACCTAAAGAGTGTGAGAAAGCAAGCAATGTGGATACCTGGGGAAGAGCATTTTTGTATGAGGTAAGGATCCAGTTTCATTCCTGTGAATGTGAATATCCAGTTTTCCCAACACTTTATTAAAGAGACTGTCCTTTCCCTGTTGTGTGTTCTTGGCACTTTTGCCAAAAATCAATTGACCATACATACTTGGGAGTCTTAGGTTTATTTCTGGGCTTCCTAACTTGTTCCATTGGTTGATGTGTCTATTTTTATGCCAGTACCATGCTGTTTTGATTACAGTAGCTTTGTAATATATTTTGCAATCACAGTGTGCAATGAGTCCACCTTTGGATTTTTTGCTCATGATTGCTTTGGCTATTCAGAGTCATTTCTGGATCCATACAAATTTTAGGATTGTTCTTTTTTTGTTTGTTTGTTTTTGTTTTTGTTTTTGAGACAGAGCCTTGCTCTGTTGCCTGGGCTGGAGTGCAGTGGCACAATCATAGCTCACTGTAGCCTTGAAAACCTTGTACTGACCTCAACTGATCCTCCCACCTCTGCTTCCTAAAGTGCTGGGATTACAGATGTGAGCTGCTGTGTCTGGCCGTATTGTTTTTTATGTATCTGTAAAGAAATGATATAGGAATTTTGATAGGAATTGTATTGAATCTGTAGATCACTTTAGGTGATATGGACATTTTAACAATTTAATTCTTCCAATCAGTGAATATGGGATGTCTTTCCACTTATTTATGTCTTCAGTTTCTTTCATTAGTGTTTTAGTTTTTAGTGCATAGATCTTTCACCTCCTTGGTTAAAGTTACAACTATTTCATTTCTTGATGTTACTGTAAATATGATCTCTCAATTTTGGGGGGGATTGTTCATTGTTAGTGTATAGAAATGCTATGGACTTTTGTATGCTGACATCGTAACCTGCAACTTTGCAGAATTTATCACCAGTTTATTACTAGATTTTTTGGTGGAGTCTTTAAAGTTTTCTCTCTATGAGATCATGTCATCAGCAAACAGACATTCTCATTTCTTTTTCTATATAGATGTCTTTTATTTCTTTTTCTTGCCTTATTGCTCTGACTAGAACTTCCAGTACTATGTTGAATAGAAGTGGCAAGAGTGGGCGTTCTTGTCTTGTTTCTAATCTTAGAGGAAAAGCTTTTCAGTTTTCACCACTGAGTATGATGTTAGCTGTGGGTATATGACCTTTATTATGCTGGGGTACATTTTTTCCATACCTTATTTTTCAGGGGTAGTTTTTATCATGAAAGGATGTTGAATTTTGTCATATGTTTTTTCTGCATCTATCAAAATAATCATGTGGCTTTTGTCTTTAATTTGCTTAATGTGTATTATTTTTATTGATTTATGTACATCAAACTACTCTTGCATCTCTGGGATAAATCTCACTTGATCATGGTGAGTGATCTTTTTACTATGCTCTTGGATTTGGTTCACTAATATTTTATTAAGGATTTTTGCATTTTTTTTCATCAGGGCTGTTGGCCTGTAGTTTCCTTTGTTTATTTTTTTGTAGTGTCTTTTTCTGCCTTCGAAATCAGGGTAAATACTGGCTTTCTAAAATGAGTTTGGAAGTATTACCTTCTCTTCAATTTTTTTGAAAAGTTTAAGGATTGGTTGCTGTTCTTTATATGTTTGGTAGAACTCAGCGGTGAAGCCATGAGGTCCTGGTCTGTCTGTCTTTTTTTTTTTTTTTGAGACCAACTCTTGCTCTGTTGCCCAGGCTGGAGTGCAGTGGCGCGATCTCGGCTCATTGCAACCTCCATCTCCTGGGTTCAAGTGATTCTCCTGCCTCAGCCTGTTGAGTAGCTGGGATTATAGGCCCATGCCACCACACCCAGCTAATTTTTGTATTTTTAATAGAGACAGGGTTTCACCATGTTGTCCAGGCTGGTCTTGAACTCCTGACCTGACCTCAGGTGATCCACCTGCCTTAGCTTCCCAAAGTGCTGAGATTACAGGCATGAGCCACTGCGCCCAGTGCCTCGTCTTTCTTTGATAAGATACTTTTTATTGAATCAGTTTCCTTAATTATTATTGGCCTATTCAGATTTTCATGACTTCCTTACTCCAGCTTTTGTAGGCTGCATGTTTCTAGTAATATCTTCATTTCTTCTAGGTTATCCAATTTATTGGAACATAGTCGTGATTAGTAGTCTCTTTTTCTTCGATGTCAGTTGTAATGTCTCCTCTTTAATTCTGATTTTGTTGGCATCTTCTCTTTTTCTTTGTTAATCTAGCTAAAGGTTTGTCTATTTGTTTATCTTTAAAAAAAAACTTTGGTTTCATTGATTACTGATTTCTAGTTTCATGTTAGTGTGGTCACATAAGATACTTCGTATGATTTCAGTGTTCTTAAATTTGTTAAGACTTGTTTTGTGGCCTAACATGCTCTATCCTGGAGAATGTTCCATATGCACTGAGAATAATGTATATTCTGTTACTGTTGTATGGAATATTCTATAAATATCTGGTAGGGCCATTTGGTCTAAAGTGTAGTTCAAATCCAGTGTTTCCTCATTGATTTTTTTTTTTCTGTCTAGGTGATCTAATGTTGAAAGTGGAGTATTGAAGTCTTATTGTATTGCAATTTATCTCTCTCTTCAAAGCTATTGATATTTGCTTTATATATTTACCTTTTCAGAAGTTGGGTGCATATATATATTTAGTTTTTGTAACTTCTTGATAAATTGACCCCCTTATCATTTTAAATGACCTTCTTTATCTCTTTTTACATGTTTGACTTAAAGTCTATTTTGTCTGACATATGGATAGCTACCCCTGCTCTTTTGGTTTCTAGTTGCATAGAACATCTTTTTCTATCTTTTCAGTCTGTGTGTGTCCTTAGAGGTGAAGCAAGTCTTTTATAAGCAGCATATAGTTAGGTCTTATTTTTTAATCCATTCGCCACTTTTAATCCAATCCACTTTTGATTGGATAATTTAATCCATTTGCATTCAAAGTAATCATTGATAGGTAAGGACTTACTATTGCCATTCTGTTAATTGCTTTTTTTGTTAATCTGTAATTCGTTTGTTCTCTCCTCCTCTCTTGCTGTTTTCCTTTGTGGTTTGATGATTTTTTTATAGTGGTATGCCTTGAATCTTTTATCTTTTCTGCAACTACTAAAGGTTTTTGCTTTGTAGTTACCATGAGACCTACATACATCTTGTGTTAGTAGCAGGCTGTTTTCAGCTGATACTGACTTAACTTTGATCACTTGCATAAATGCTATACTTTTACTTGCCTCCCCACCCCAATTTGTTTTTAAGGACATGTCTTATATCTTGTATAGTTTGTATAGTGTATTATAGCTATAGTTATTTATTTTTAATATTTTGTCTTTTAACTTTCCTATTAGATATATAATTGATATTTACACCACCAGTACAGTATAATAGTGTTCTGAGTTTGTATGCTTACTTTTACTAGTGAGTTTTATGTTTTCTAATTTATTTATTTATTTATGTTTGAGATGGAGTCTTACTCTATCACCCAGGCTGGAGTGCAGTGGCACGATCTTGGCTCACTGCAACGTCCGCCTCCCAAGTTCAAGTGATTCTCTTGACTCGGCTTCCCGAGTAGCTGGGATTACAGGTGCACACCAGCACACCCAGCTAATTTTTGTACTTTTTTAGTAGAGATGAGGTTTCACCACGTTGGCCAGGCTGGTCTCGAATTTCTGGCCTCAAGTGATCCACCCGCTTCGGCCTCCCAAGTTGTTGGGATTACAGGTGTAAGCCCCTGCACCCAGCCGTTTTCATATGTTTTTAATATTGCTAGTTGGCAGCATTTTTCTTCAGCTTGAAGGATCCTTTTAGCATTTCTCATAAGGCAGATCTAGTGGTGATAAATTTCCTTACGTTTTGTCTGAGAAAGTTTTTATTTCCCCTTTTATTTTTGAAGAACAGGATCACTGGATATAGTATTTTTGGTTGACAATTCTTTTTCTTCCTTTTCTTTCAGCTTTTTGAATCTAACATTCCACTCCTTTCTGGCCTACAAGGTTTCTGTTGAAAATTTTGCCTATAATTTACTGGAAGTTCCCTTGTTTGTAACAACTCACTTTTCCCTTGCAGCTTTCAATATTTTCTCTGTCTTTAACTTTTGACAATTTGATAATAACGTCTTTTGGTGTGTGAGTCTCTTCGGATTCCTCCTATCAAGTTTTCATTGAACTTCCTGGATCTGGCTGGGTTTTTTTTTTTTTTGCTTTGTTTTTCTTTTTTTTCTTTCTCTCTCTCTCTCTTTCTGTCCTTCTTTCTTTCTTTCATCATAAGCAAGCTAACAGGAGGGATCTGGCTTTCTGTTTCCTTCCCCAGACTTGGAAAGTGTTCTGCCACTTTTTCTTTGAATTTTTTTTGTCCCTTTTTCTCTTTCTTCTCCTTCTGGTACTCTGATAATGTGTGTAATTCTGCTTGGTGGTATCCTATGAGTCCCTTAGACTGTCTTCACTCTTTTTCATTCTTTTTTCTTTTTGTTCCTCAGATTGGATGATTTCCATTGAACTGTCTTCAAGTTTGCTAATCCTTTCTTCTGCTTGATCTAGTCTGCTGTTGGACCCCTCTACTGAATTTTTTTAGTTTGGCTATTGTGTTCTTCAGGTCAATGATTTCTGTTTGATATTTTAAAAATATTTTCTACCTCTTTGTTGATATTCTCAATTTGTTCATGCATCGCACTCCTTACCTCAGTGAGCATCTTTATGACTCCTTCTAAATGTCCTGTTAGGTAAATCACATATCTTCCTTTCAGTAGGGTTGGCTTCTAATTGAGATTGTCTTGTTCTTTTTTTTTTTTGGAGCATATTTCCCTATTTCTTCATTTTTCTTAACTTAAGGCACATAGAATGCTGTCCCTTCTGTTTAGGCTTCAGGAGGTTTATTCTTTATTTGCTACATAGG
This sequence comes from Homo sapiens, assembly GCF_000001405.40. NCBI lineage: Eukaryota > Metazoa > Chordata > Mammalia > Primates > Hominidae > Homo > Homo sapiens. The sequence continues at coordinate 236,257,456 of NC_000001.11, read as the reverse complement.
CTCCTAGATACTGGCTTGTTAGAAGCCAAATCTGCAGGGAGTTGCTGGAAAGGCTGCCAAGATTTTGGCTTGAGGAACTAGAATAATGGAGTTGCTGTTTACTCAGATGGTGAGTATTACTAGAAGGAGTAATTCTTCATTTTTCTTAACTCTGTATTGGTTTCTGTGTATTATATAAAAGAACTACCTTCTCTAGTCTTGTTAGACTGGTCTTATGTACCAGGTGTTTCTTCCCAATCAGCCTTGGCAGTATTCTAGTTTCGCAAAACTTTGTGCTTGTCCAGCCTGCTGTCTCTGTTCTTAGTGGCCTCCAAGAAATTAGAGTCAAGTTGTACTATTGCCTTGAGAGAGGTGGTATAGAAGCCATTCCCTTGGGATATGACTAGAGATATTGGGATGTTAGATGTGTGCTTTGGTTTCTTCTTTCCTTGCAGAGAAGCTGAAAGCCAGAGTTTATCTCCCACTGATTCTGCTCTGCACCAAAGAGAGCATCTGAGGCAGATGCCTGTATTCTTGATCTAACTGGTGACTTTTTAACTTGGAAGAGAGAGATAGCTGCTGAATATTTATTTGCAAGTTTAAAAGTCACCTGTTTGTTCTCTGTGGTCTAGGAGACTCAGGAGTGTAGGGCTTCATCAACTCCCAGAGCTAGGTGATTTAGCAGCCTATCCCTCCAGTGAAGGCTATAAAAGTTGGGGTTCTTGATGTGTTCAAAAATTATTTTCATGGAGAGTTGAAGACCTGGAATTATTGCCAGAGCCTGTAGGGGAAAAGGTGCAGGAAGCCCACTCTACTTTTTGGGCCAGCAGGTCTCATGCCCCCCTAGCAGGGGGAGACTTCTGATCTGAAGCTATTACTGAAGCATGCCAGGAGAAAGGCACAGGGAGTGCTGACTTTCCTTTTCAGGAATGGGGAGGTCCCCCCGCCTCCTTCCATTGAGAGATTGTGGGAGTTTGTCTCTAGAGCACATGGAGGCAGAAGGCATGAGAAGTGCTGTCCCTTCCATTCGTGGTGGCAGAGATTTCAGAGTTGGGATTGTGTCTGGAGCAAGCCAGGGAAGGAGGTGCAGAGTGTGCTTACTCTCCCGTTCAAGCAAGAAGTCTCACATGCACCTTGCAGGAGTAACCTTTTGGTCTGGAGTTCCCTGAAGCAAGCCAGGGAAGAAGACACAGGGAATATCCCCTTCTCTTTCTTGTCATGGAGAGGTCCCCTTGCCTCCTTCTAATGAGAGGTTGCAGAAACTTATCTCAGGAGCAAGTCAGGGAAGAAAGCGCAGAGGGTGCTGTTCCTCCTGTTCTTGCTGGCAGAGGCCTCCAACCTTTTTCCAAGGAGAGAGTGGATGGCTGGGATTAGCGCCTGAAGTAAGCCAGGGGAAGAAGGCACATAGAGTGCTGTCCCTTCTGTTTAGGCTCAAGGAGGTTTATTCTTTATTTGCTACATGGGTTCCCAGATACTGGCTTGTTAGAGGCCAGAGCCTCAGGGAGTTGCTGGAAAAGCTGCCAAGATTTTTGGCTTGAGGAACTAGAATAATGGAGTTGCATTTTACTCAGATGGTAAGAATTTCTAGAAGGAGGAGGTGCAGTTTTGGATATGTTAATTTTGAGGTACCTATGAATGCCTTGTCCAGGAAGAGATAATCCAGGAAGCAGGTGGGTATACAGGCCAGAAGCTTAAGGGAGGTGTCCAGGCTGAGAACTTGCAGTCCCCAGATGTGCCATGCTGTTTTAAGGTTCTTTGTTTATGCACATCCTGCCCCACTGCCTCTAAATCTCCCTCAAACACTTCTAGTCATACCCATTTTACATATTACCAAAAGTCAGAGTTGATCACCCTCTCCTCTATGTTGCCAATCTACCTATTTTTGCCTTCTTCTCTGTAATATAGATATTGTTTACTTAACCATATTAATTAGGTGTCTACTATGTATTATACCACTGTTCCAAGCACTAAGGATAAGATGATGCAAAATTCTGATCCTTATGGTAGGAGGCGCAGACAATAAGCAGATAACATTCAGGGATAAGTGCCATAAAAGAATGTAAAACAGTACGTTGGGGTAGAGGTTGCATACTGAGCACTACTTTAGCAAGCCTGGCCAGGAATGGTCTCTCTGCTTAGGTGTGATATGTGAGAGAGACTTGAATGCGGCGAAAGAGTGAGCCGTCATAAGATCTGGAGGAGCAATAATACAGGCAGAGAGGACAGCAAATATAAAGACCTTGAGGCCGGGCATGGTGGCTCACACCTATAATCTTAACACTGGGAGTCTGAGGTGGGTGGATGGCTTGAGCCCAGGAATTCCAGCCCAACCTGGGAAACATAGTGAGACCTTGTCTCTACTTAAAAAAAAAAAAGAAAGAAAAAAAAAATTAGCCAGGTGTGGTGGTACATCTGTGGTCCCAGCTACTTGGGAGGCTGAGGTACAAAGATCACCTGAGCCCAGGAGTTCGAGGCTGCAGTGAGCCAGGTTCGTGCCACTGCACTCCAGCCTGGGTAACAGAGCAAGACTCTGTCTCAAAAAAGAAAAAAAAAAAGATAAAGACCGGCCAGGCACGGTGGTTCATGCCTCTAATCCCAGCACTTTGGGAGGCCAAGGCAGGCGGGTCACCTGAGGTCAGGAGTTCGAAACCAGCCTGGCCAACATGGTGAAACCCTGTCTCTACTAAAAATACAAAAATTAGCCAGGCGTGGTGGTGGACACCTGTAATCCCAGCTACTTGGGGGGCTGAGGCAGGAGAATCACTTGAACCCAGGAGGCAGAGGTTGCAGTGAGCCAAAACTGCACCATTGCACTCCAGCCTGGGTGACAGAGTGAGACTCTGTCTCAAAAAATAAAAAAAAAATAAAGATCTTGAGACATAGGGAGCATGGTATGTTCCCAGCAAGGCCAGTGTGGCCAGAGGAGCATAATAGAAGAGGTCAGAGAGATAGGCCAGAGGCCAGGTTATGGAGGGCCTTGTGGAGCTTGCTGCAGAGTTTATAAACTCTAAGGGTGATGGGAAGCCACAGGAAGGTTTTGAGGAGGGATTGATATGATCTGATCTGTTTTAAATAGATAACTGTAGTTGCTGTATGGACATAGAAGTAGAAGCAGGGAGACTATTGCAATAGTGTAGGCAAGAGGTAGGTGGTGACAAATGGAAAAATGAATTGTTTGATGGGGAACAAGAAAAGGGAGGAAGGAGAATAAAACCTAGATTTTGGCATGGGCAATCTGCAAGTCCTATTGAATTACTGTCTTCCTGTAATGTGTAGAATAGGAAAATCCAGCTTTTTTACCATGGTTAAAATGTCCTGCATGACTGTCCCTTGTTTACCTCCATCCTCGTTCTCTGCCACCCTCCCCCTTCTACATTAAACGTCAGCCCAACTGGTGTTTTTTAGTTCACACAACTGCCCAGGCTTTTTATTGCCTTATCCAAATGCACACTTCCTCCATCCTAAAATATTACTGCCTCAGAGGCCTCCATCCGCTAGCCTCACTATTACAGTTCTCTGGATTTTCTTTGTAGCACTGACTACAACTCGTACTAAACTTACAAATATTTAATTTGTTTCCTTCAATAGATTTTTAAGTTCCAGAGGGATAGGGGAGTTCTTTTTCTGTCCATTTTCCCCCCATAGCCTACCCAGTGCCTGACACATAGTGGATGCTCAGTTCTTATTTGTTGAATAAATGGGTGCATGAGAGAATTCTCATTAATAAGATAACATTAGGAGGCTGGAAGACATTCAAGTAGTTCTAAATGCTTTCTCTGTCACCCAGTCTGGAGTGCAATGGCATGATCTAGCTCATTGCTGTCATTTTAAATTCTGAACCTTATAGGTGCCACGAGGATAGGAAGTATTCCTTCTTATTCACCACCATGTCACTGGTGCCCAACACAATGACACTTTGAGAGCACCCCATAACTATAATATGAGTTTACTAACTTTGTTCTTTCTTTCAAGGTTAATCTGAAGCGACCTTGTCCTTTCTGGGCAGAAGATGGCCACTGTTCAATAAAAGACTGTCATGTGGAGCCCTGTCCAGAGGTATAATAAATAAAATAACAGGGCAAAGCCAATTTTCTCTTGGACTTTTAGAAAAGCATAACCTCTATTTTATTTCAGGCTAATGTCAATGGATTTGGATGTGTCAGCAAATTCATATGCTCTCAGCTCTCTCCTTTAGAACCAGATTATTGAAGATTCTATACTTGACACCAAAATGGGTTTGAAGACACTTGTATCCAGTGATACTGGTGATCAAATATGGAAATATAGTCTTATTCTAAAATGGAAGGAAAATCAGAGGCCTGTTCTAGGATTGGATCTGCAGTTGTCTTTTATTTCATGCTTTATTGAATCAGCATCTTGTTTCATAGGAAAAAAAAAACAAAATAAAAACAAGCTACTGGACCCTATATTTCAAATTTATAGTGATTTAATTGGGGAAATTTCAGGCTTAGAATTAGATTTTCACTTGGCCTTGTTACATTTACATTTAAAAAAAAACCTATACTTAATACCAAGAGAATGCTACATTTTAGACTTTGATTTTTGTTATCTAACATAATTAATTATATTCCTCTTCTTCAACAGTAATTAGTTGTAAGCTTTGTTTTCCTTTCACTTTCTGCTTTTCTTACCTAATCAGTTAGTCTAGTTTGTTGTCCTTAAAAATCTGTACCAATGTCCTTCCTAAAGGGAACATTCTTTAAAAATTTATAATATTCAGTTTCCTTTAAGAATAAAATATGTATTAAGTATTTCGTTTAAAGTTCTGTTTGATAAACTGGTTGTAATAATTCAGATACATTTATTAAAGCCTAACACTAATTATTGGCCTTGTGAAAAAGAATGTTCCAGCTACATGCACTTCTCCCATTGGTAAACCCTAGATTAGATTGGTAAACTCTAGGTTAATCGTGTGGGCCAAAAAAAGCTTTCTAGTAATCCAAAATTGCCTACACTTTGTTAGAGCAGAAGTTAAAATTGCACATAATACATTGCAAATAATTTTGAACTTTCAAAACTTTCTTTTCTATGGTAACAAAGTTTGTGGAAGGAAGTGATTGTCAGTGTTTTCAACCTAAATTATATAAACTATAAAAAATACTGCAATAGTTATTAGAGCTGCTTTTGGCTTTCTTACTTTGTGTATGTCATTCAGTTTTCTATACTTTGATTTATAAGTCTGTATATTGGGATAACACTTTTACTTTATGAGATAGTGTGAAAACACAATTTGAGTGAGTGTATATTTGCCCCTCATAGAGTAAAATGCTTGATGAAATAGAGCAATGCATTGACAATTCGTGAAGAAATTCCAAAAAAAATAAAGATCACTTAAAAATTTTTTTGCTTTTCTTGTTTTTTTAAGAGTAAAATTCCGGTTGGAATAAAAGCTGGGCATTCTAATAAGGTAAGTCCCTCCTCTTCCTTGAGTGTTTCTGCTTTACATTGTGAAACTTACCATTTACTGACTGACAGTGGCTGTAGTAAAGAACCATATTATGGTTAGTTGGGAATGGAGACATTTTGCCTCAGAATTCCAAATCCCTAACTCTTGCGTCAAGCAGATAGATTGTACATTTCTAGATTCTTTTGAAATTGCTTCAGTACTGTTTTTGGAATCTCTGGAACAACTATTAAATGTAACTATAGTGTCAGATCCCCTAGTCAGCAGGTGTTTTATCACATAGCTATTTTTAGTCTTCTGTTTCAACTAGTTAGCCTGGCAGGTTCAGAATTATATTGTATAGAGTAAATAATTATCAAGATATTTTGAGCAGAGTACTTTCAGATGGTATTAAGATATTCATTTTTAATTATTGTTCTTGTCCTTTTATGAGAGTATTATATTTTGCCATTGATATGTTTTTAGAGAACCGTTTATTTCCTGTTTTTCACTACTGCGCATCCATAATAAAGATCATCATACCCTCTCTCTCTGTCTCCTTCTTGTGCCTCCTTTGCGTTTTCTTCTTGCTCTCTCTCCCGTGTAATCTTTTGTTTTTACTTTATTGTATTTATTTTTGCTTCAGATCTGAAATAAATAAAACCATATAAAAGCAGTTGAAACCCCCTCAGCCATTTCCCAGTTCGTTCTAATTCCTTCCTCCCAGAGCTAACCATTTTTCTGAAGTATCCTGTGATTTTATATTCTTATTGCAGGTGTATCTACAAGTAATATATTTTACACTTTTATTGCATGTGTATCCACAAGTAATATGTAATTTATTGTGTGTAAATTTTTTTTAATTTAAATAATATTAATAATATTTTTCTATTTCTTTAGGTTACAAACTTTTTTTCAGTTTGTGCTTTTACTCAGTCTTACACTTTTGAAATTTTCTCTGTTGGTATATGTGGATTTTGCTCATCATCTTAATAGCTGTAGTCAGTTGTATGACTATAACACATATTAGCCATTCCTCTATTGATGGACATTTCAGTTGTTCCCAATTTTTGGCTATTTCAAACAGTAATGCACTAGCATTTTTGTCCTTTGTCTCATTGTGCACACATGTAAGAGTTTCTCTAGGTCTACCTGTAAAGGCAGGATTGCTGAACCATAAGGCATGCCTATCTCAACATTAGAAATAATACCAAATAATTTTCCAAGGCAGTTGTACCTTTTTAAAAAAATGGTTGCCCTGGGATGTGGTCTCACTAGTGGGACTGCAGGTTCAAAGGTTTAAGCATTTTGCAAACGTGTGTGTGTATGTGTGTGTGTGTATATATATGTACGTATGTATATATATATGTGTGTGTATATATAACTTTTATATAAAAACCCTCTTTAGAACTAAATTTGACCATATATATATATATGTTTGCACACACACGTTTGATATATATATATATATATATATATATATATATATATATATATATATGGTCAAATTTACTTCCCAAGAGGGTTGTTTTTTCAGTTGATATCACCAACACATCAGTGCTAATTGTTAACTTTTACTTTTGAATTTTTATTTATTTTTTTGAGACAGAGTCTTGCTCTGTCATGCAGGCTGGAGTGCAGTGGCGTGATCTCAGCTCACTTCAACCTCTACCTCCCAGGTTCAAGCAATTCTCCTGCCTCAGCCTCTCCCGAGTAGCTGGGATTACAGGCGTGTGCCACCACACTTGGATAATTTTTGTATTTTTAGTAGAGACGGGGTTTCACCATGTTGACCAGGCTGGTCTTGAACTCCTGACCTCAAGTGATCCGCCCGCCTTGGCCTCCCAAAGTGCTGATTACAGACGTGAGCCACTGCACCCAGCCTAATTGTTAAATTTTAATATGTTGTTGATGGAAATAATATTTAGTTGGTGGAAATTTCTGCCTCATTTTCATTTGTATTTCTTACATATGATAGGGATTTTTATAATGGAATGTATGTATATTTAGTGTATATCATTGTTGACAGATTGATTATTCTGCCAATAGAAACTGAAATAAAGAATAAGGTAATAATTTTTACTAAACTTACGAACTTCTTTGCAGTACTTGAAAATGGCAAACAATACCAAAGAATTAGAAGATTGTGAGCAAGCTAATAAACTGGGAGCAATTAACAGCACATTAAGGCAAGTTTTATTTTGGTAATATTAAGAAAATATTCTCATTGATATCAAGAATCAATTTTTTATGATTTTGGTAAAACATTTTCGAACCCATTAAAGTTTTAACTAATATATTTTTAAAAGGAAGAAAAAGTTTTTCTTTATCCTAAATTTCATAATAGCTTTGCCTCTTCTTGGCTGATTTATCCTTAAATTTCTAGAATGTATCATCCATAGTAAATCTTTTAAAAAGTAGAAATTTACAAGATTGTTCAGCTAACAGGGTTTATGGATCAATTTTTCCTGATTACTATGGAAGAAGGGGCTTGAACTCCTAAATCTTTTTAAATAGTGATTGAGTCTGGATGTTACATTTTGAATGATAAAAGTTATTAGCCTGTTAAATTTCGTAGATTTTTTTTCTGTTAACTTTTCCTTATTTGTTCTACACAGAAACCAGCATAAACAATATATAAATGGCCTCAAATTGTGTAGTATAAAATGACTAGACATAATCAGTAGTTGGGAATGAGATATTTCAGAAATTCCTTTACATTCCCATTTGATTAGGTTTGTATTTATGAGCCGGGCATGGTGGCTCATGCCTGTAATCCCAGCACTTTGGGAGGCTGAAGTGGGCAGATCACCTGAGGCCAGGAGTTTAGGACTAGCCTGGCCAACATGGTGAAACCCCATCTCTACTAAAAATACAAAAATTAGCCGGGTGTGGTGGCGGGTGCCTATAATCCCAGCTACCTGAGAGGCTGAGGCAGGAGAATTGCTTGAACCTGGGAGGCGGAGGTTGCAGTGAGCTGAGATCACACCGTTGCACTCTAACCTGGGTGACAAGAGTGAGACTCTGTCTCAAAAAAAAAAAAAAAAAGATTTGTATTTATGTACCATAATTGCTAATGACTCAGTATAAGTTAGCAATTTTATTTATTGAAGACAAAATTTAATATAGGAAAATAAAAGATAATAAACACCCACATACATATCCTCCATTTCAAATAAATAATCCTCCATTCCAAGTAAATAAATATTAACATTTTTTGCCATATGTTTTAAGGAACAAGAAACATCACAGATAAATTTAAAATCCCTTATGCTGTATTCCCTAATCCAGTAGAGGTAACTACTATCAAGAATTAGTTGGTGTATATCCAGTCTGTTTTTGTTTTTATATATTTATATGTATAAATAAGATAGTTTTATTTTGTGTATATGGTTTTATTTTTCCTTTGTATAAATGATATCCTATATTTAACATTCTGCTACATTTTTCATTGTACATTTTGCTTTCTAGATCTGTCCATGTTGAAACACAGATTTATTCTTTTAACTGATGAATGATTTTCATCATATAAATATCCCATATTTTACTTAGCTATTCACTTATTGATGGATGTTTAGCTATTTCCAATTATTTACTTTTACAAACATGCCACCTTGAGCATTCCCAAATTTTTTTTCACATTAGAAGTAGAATTGTTGAATCTTAGGATTGTCTTTTTAATACCCATTCTTGATATTGCCTGATGACATTCCATAGTACTTGGTGTGAATATATACTGACTCCAGTGCTGACAGCTTGTATCATTCTCTACATCCTTACCAAAAGTTGATAATGTTTGTTGAGTGTGAAATAGTACCTTGTTTTTATTTTATACTTCGTAATTACTAGTGGATTTGAGCATTTTTTATTTATTGGACATTTGAGTTTCTTATTCATTCAACAAATGAATGTCTACAATGTGCCAAGCACTGTTCTAGGGTACTAGGAATCCAGTAGCGTAATGGATAAAATTTCCGCCCTCGTGCAACTTGATCCTTGTCAGAGGAAATAACACAATAAACAAGTAAAATATATGAGAAATAAGTAAGTAAAATGATGATGAATGCTAGGGAAGACAGGCAGGGAAGAACAAAGAGGGCTAGGAGTGAGAGAGTGGCACTGTTTTAAATTGGGTGGTCAGAGAAGATAATACAACATTTGAACAAATTGCCGAAGAAGGTGAAGGCATGAGTCTTACTATGGTTGGCTGGGGGATGAGCATTCCAGGTATATATAAATGTTAGTTGAAAACCCCCATGGCAGGATCATGCCTAGACTTAAACACAATAAGACCAATGTAACTGCAGCACAGTCATCAAGGGCAAAGTAGCAGAAGACAAGGTCAAAAGATGCTAGGGATGGGGCAGGAGGTGGGGTGGGTAGAGATCTTGTAGAGCCTTGAAAGCAATTATAATGAGTGTTTGCTCTTAGACTGGGTGGAATAAAACTCACAGGGAGGTTTTGAACAGAGGAGTTAAGGGCATGTGTTGAGGGAGCCTGATATGTTGCAGAAGCCTTATTACGTGATTATCGTAGTAATCCAAATAAGACATTATGGTGATTTAAACCAGGGTGATAGCAGTGGAAATGATGAGAAGCGGTCAGGTTCTGGATGTATTTTGAAGATAAAGCTAACAGGATTTGCTGCAGTATTGGATATGTGGTATTGAGAAGATATGAGCTTTTGGATGACTACAAGATTTGGAATTATAAAAATGGAGTTGCCATTTACTGACCTGTGGACAGCTGGAGGAGGAGCAAGTCTGAGACAAAGTTATAGTCAAATTTGGATTTGTTAAGTTTGAGCTGCCTGTGAGACATCCACTTGGAGATTTCAGGTAGGCAGTTGGATATACAAATCTGAAATAGGGGAGAGGTCTGGATGTCAGTCAATGAATAGATGGTGTTTAGCAGCCATAAACCTAAATGAGATCACCAAGGAGAGAGTGTAAATAGAGGAATGATCTAGGGACTAGGCTTAAGTCATTGGAAGATTTTGGGGTAAATTGCCAGTTTATATTCTTTGTCATTTTTTTCTCCATTGGGTTGGATTTTAAAATTATTACTGATTTGTAAGCATTCTTTATATAATGTGATAATTCTTTGTTGGCTGTGTTGTTAGGATTTGTCCTTTAATTTTGCATATAGTTTTTTGTTGTTGAACAGAAATTATTCTTTAAACTTAAAAAATTTAAGTATAATACACATATGGTGGAATAGAAAATTCTTAAGTGTAAAGGTCAATGTAACTTTACAAAGTGAACCCAACTCTATAGCCACCATCCAGAGCATTATACTTGCTGTCCAGATTACCATGTGTACTTTCCTAGTCATTATCACCTTCCAAAGTTAACCGTGATTTTGAGATACTGACAGAGATTAGTTTTAACTGTTTATAAATAGAATGATATAGAACATATTCTGTTGTATCTGGCTTCTTTTTGTTAACATGTGTCTGAGATTCATTCATGTTTTTGGGCATAGTAATGTTTAATTCTTTTTTATTGGCACATAGTATTCTATAGTAAGAATGTGCCATGTTTCCATTCTGCTCTTGATAGCTTATGCTTTGGGGCCATTTCAGAAATATTTTGGTGGATACAGTTGGACATGGTGGCTCATGCCTGTAATCCCAGTACTTTGGGAGGCCAAGGGAGGAGGATTGGTTGAAGCCAGGAGTTCAAAATCAGCCTGGCCAACAAGTGAGATCCTGTCTCTACAAAAAATTAAAAAAAAAAATAGCCAGGTGCAGTGGCATGAGCCTATAGTCCCAGTTACTTGAGTGGCTGAGGCAGGAGGATCACTTTGAGTTCATGAGTTTGAGACTGCAATGAGCTATGATTGTGCCACTGTACTCCCCAGCCTGAGTGACAAAGTGAGACACTATCTGTGAAAAAATAAAAAAAAAATTTGGTACATACATATGTATATTTTTATGGAGAATATACCTAGAAATGAGATTAGGTACTGCCAAATTGTTTTCTAAAATTGCTACCAAATTATATTGCTACTAGTAGTGTATCAGTTATCTGTTCTACAACTTCTCCAGTGATTGGTACTATGATTTTTAAACAGCTTTACTTTGAGGTATAATGAAATATGATACACTGCATATAAAGTATACAGTTTGATGTTTTGACATGTGTCCACCCATATAACATCATCACAATTAAGATACCATAGGTTGGGTGTTGTGTCTCATGCCTGTAATCCTAGCACTTTGGGAGGCCGAGGCAGGGGGATCATGTGAGGCCAGGAGTTCAAGACCAACCTGGCCAACATGGTGAAAATACTACTTAAATACTACTAAAAATAAAAAAATTAGCCAGGCGTGGTGGCAGACGCCTGTAATCCCAGCTACTCAGGAGGGTGAGGCAGGAGAATCACTTGAACCCAGGAGGTGGAGGTTGCGGTGAGCCAAGATCGTGCCACTACACTCCAGCCTGGGTGACAGAGTAAAACTGTGTCTCAAAAAAAAAAAAAAAAAAAAAAATATATATATATATATATATATATATACACACACATACATACACACATATATATACACACACATACATACACACATATATATATACGTGTATATATATACGTATATATATACGTGTGTATATATATACGTATATATATACGTGTGTATATATATACGTATATATATACGTGTGTATATATATACGTATATATATACGTGTGTATATATATACGTATATATATACGTGTGTATATATATACGTATATATATACGTGTGTGTATATATATATATATATATATATATTTTGACTGGGCATGGTGACTCACACCTGTACTCCCAGCACTTTGGGAGGCCAAGACAAGCAGATCACTTGAGCCCAGGAGTTTGAGACCAGCCTGGGCAACATAGCAAGACCCTGTCTGTACAAAAAAATAAATAAATAAATTAGCTGGATGTGTTGGCGTATGTCTATAGTTCGAGCTACTTGGGAGGCTGAGGATAGAAGGATCACTTGATCCCAGAAGGTCAAGGCTACAGTGAACTATGATGTCAGTGCACTCCAGCCTGGGTGCAGTGAGACCCTGTCTCAAAAAATATATGTATATATTTATCACTCCCAGAAAGTTTCTCATTCCCTATTCCATCTTTTATGCTCCTCATTTCCCAGTTTGAAGACTACTACTTTAACCTTGGGACACTATCTTGAAAGGAAGTGCTGAGTTAAGTCCAAGAAATTCTCATGCAAATAGTGTTGCATCCATCTTCAAACTGACATTTGGAAAAGCTGAAGTAGATAACCTCTAAGGTCCCTTCTAACTCATTTATAAATCAAACTGAGCCAGCTTTATTAGCATTAGATGCACATTCAATGTTTTTTCGGGCTTAGGCATGGCTTTACTGTGGTTTTAGGCAGGGGTTAGGTGAAAGAATCAGCAAAGCCTCTTCAAATGAGGATGCTCAAAGAAGAAATTTCCTGAAAGTCATATTGTTAACAAGAAAATAGGAATTTGTATCACTATTGATTTGTTCTTCACTACTTTCAACATAAGATCTATCTTATTAAACACAAGTTTAGTTAACGTCATTTTAGCTGTAATTAGGCATTATTGTTTATGGCATCACGTATTTCAGTTGGGTCAACTGTGATACAATATTTTTGTTAATTTTTATTATATACTCCCATAGGGAAAAAAATTCCACAGTAAGTTGAACTGGAAAAATGTATTGATAAAGTTGATGTAGTACAGCCAAGCTTATACACTTCTTTGTAGTGGCTTCTCAAATACAAAACAAATTCTTGATTATGACAGTACCACATTTAGGAATTACCTGATTTTTACCTTTATATACCTGATTTATACAGTTTTTTGTACCTTGTTTTTTCCTTTTGTGTTATGAATAAAGAGGGTAGCAAAATGATGCCTCTCTGATAGATACTACCATCATGAGTATTCAATACAGAGAAGGCCTGAATATAGGTTCAAGTTAATGTAGATCAAAGTTGATTTCAAGGAATGTAGTTGTTACTTATCAGTTCTTCAAGTTAGAAATCTTGATCATAGATTTTGTTAAATGTTAACTAGGCTGTGAAACGAGTGATACACCATGATAAAAGTGGCATTGTTGTAACCAGTGAATACCACATTGGATGGGAGATTATAGAAATACAGTTATTGGTATTTTAGATCTTGTAAGTATAGACACAATTTAAATTAAAAGAATTCTGAAAATAAATTTAATTACTTCGGAAAAAATACGTTTAACGTTATAATTTCTAAGTTAATTGAAAAGTTTAGCTTGAGTTTTGTGTTTAACTACATGTTATATGTATTTACAAATTAATTTCTCCTTGAAATAATTATTATTGACTAGTCCTAATAATTCAGTATAGTTAAGAAATATAAATTACTCAAGGAAATTAATACATATATTTTCCTATAACTTGTTTTTTGTCATCCCTTCATGTAATCACTAATAGCAGAATTGTGACATCATCTAATCTTTAACTGACCTCAGATTATCTATTTTAATTACACTAGAATACAGTATTAAAAGTTTCAGCTCCAAATTTAATAATTTTTCTTTTTTATTCCTCCTTCCCATAGTAATCAAAGCAAAGAAGCTTTCATTGACTGGGCAAGATATGATGATTCACGGGATCACTTTTGTGAACTTGATGGTAATACAATAAACTATTATAATTAAATTATTTTAACTTTAACCCTTTTATAAGACATTTTAATCAATGAAAATATAAACTGAATTATAGCTTCAGTACTGGATTTTGCTATGTAGACCTTATTATTCATAATGGCATTTATTGAGAGCCTGTGTTCCAGGCCCTATGTTAAGTGCCTTAAATACATTATTTCTGGTCTTTGCAGCTACCTTCATAAGTGTGTATTATTTCATATCTGAGAAAACTGAGTCTGAAAAAGACTAAATAACTTGCCCAAGATCACACAATAGCAAGAGGCTGAGGCAGGATTTGATCCCATATCCGAATCCAAAACCTGTATTCTTTCCATTATGATATACCATCTGCCATGGACCTTCAATTGAAGCCACTTAGTTATAGGTCTGTGAACATTTTGTAAAAATATTTACACTGGAATTTGCTAGAGGTCTTAACAAACTCATGTAAAGATGCTTTCTAATGCTGGGGAGGACTCTAATTCGACTTCTCCACAGCCCTTTTTCCAAGAGTCCCCTGGAATGGTAGAAAGACTGGACACTCTCCACCAGAGTAACTACCACTTCTCTTAACAGAAGGTAATTGCAGTGACTCAAAATTTTTTATCTGTGGGATAATATTCCCAAAGAATTGTGCTGAGTAGGCATAAATCATTCATTTAGTTTCTCTTCACCTTTTTCCTTGGTATTGTTATATTTTTCACAGTGGAAAAGAATTTGGGGATTAAGTGTGCATAGTTGGAAATAGTAGTTCTTTGGAACTCTTCAAGTATCTAGAATGCTCTGCTTTCTAAAGTTTTAAAAAAGATTCACGGGTAGAATTGTGCTATAAATCCAGCCCATAGTGGAGTAAGTTAGAGTGAGCTTCTACGATAGTATGGTAAACTGAGAATAATACTGGGAGATGGAATGTTATCTTGGCTTATATGGTTTCAGTAAGGAAATTTTAAAGGAATCTGAGTGAGGTTATACTAAGGGGTAATTAATGAAGTATCTGTCCTCTCTATGATATAGAGAATTGGTAAAACTTTTATCAAAGCAAGCCATTGAACCTCTCCTTTCACATTTGCTCTTTGGTTGCCATTTATATTTGAGTGCTTAACACTCATAGTCATTTATTTCTAAATTGTCCATTTACCTATTCTTTGATTAAAGTATAAATAATAGTGCTTATTTAATAGGTTTTCAAATTAATAATTTGTGTGACTATATATTACTCTTATGGTAAATAGGTATTTAATAAAAATACTTAATTGCAGGAAGTACTTGCTATAAATAAATTGATATGTAGATTACCTGCCATCAGTATAAACAGTGTTAACGATTTTTTTTTTTTTTTTGAGACAGAGTCTCGCTGTGTCGCCCAGGCTGGAGTGCAGTGGCACAATCTCGGCTCACTGCAAGCTCCGCCCCCCAGGTTCACGCCATTCTCCTGCCTCAGCCTCCCGAGTAGCTGGGACTACAGGTGCCCACCACCACGCCCAGCTAATTTTTTGTATATTTAGTAGAGACGGGGTTTCACCATGTTAGCCAGGATGGTCTTGATCTCCTGACCTCGTGATCCACCTGCCTCAGCCTCCCAAAGTGCTGGGATTACAGGCTTGAGCCACTGCACCTGGCCGTGTTAACTATTTTTTAAAATATTAGTTTCTTAAATTGTAGAAAGTAAGAAATATTTTTTAAGAATTTACATGAAATCATCCCCTTAAGATTTTCAAGATTATATTTAAAATCAATTATTTTTATATTCTTATAAAACCATGGTACCTACTAATTGGTTTACCATGACTCTTCTGAGTTGTAATGTTCATATATATTCCAATGGTTTATATGCAGTTTGTTTTTGATTTGTTTTGTTTTGTTTTGAGATGGAGTCTCACTCTGTTGCCCAGGCTGGAGTGCAATGGCACAATCTTGGCTCACTGCAACCTGTCTCCTAGGTTCAAGCAATTCTGCCTCAGCCTCCCTAGTGGCTGGGATTACAGGCATGCACCACCATGCACAGCTAATTTTTTTTTTTATTTTTAGTAGAGACAGGGTTTCGCCATGTTGGCCAGGTTGGTCTCAAACTCCTGACCTCAGGTGATCCGTCTGCCTTGGCCTCCCACAGTGCTGGGATTACAGCCATCAGCCACCGTGCCTGGCCTATAGTAGTTTTTAAAATTACTGTCAGGGTAGCTTTAGAATCATTGTTTAGTTATTGCTGTTTCCCAAATTCAGTGGATTAAAACAAAAATATAAAGAATATTCACCCAGTTTACTAGGGAATATGTCCATTTCCTGCTGTTTTGCTGTTGATAATGACTTCATTTGAATGGAAGATGATCCCTATAGATCAAATAGTAGTTTTTAAAATAATTTAGTAATTTAATATCCTTTAAGGTAAACTGCTTTCCCTACCACTCTTTTTTGTTGTTGTTGTTACTGTCTTTATCATGGCTTGCTTCTTGTTCATGTTTCTCCTCAAATGTCACTTTATCAGAAAAGCCTGCTCTCATCTCGCTGTGTAAGATAGTAGCCACTATCACTCCCTGTCCCTTTGCTTTGATGGCCCCCACCCTGCCCAAGCACTAACAACTGTCTGACAGTATATGGCATATTATTGAGTGTATCGGTTTCTTGTCAGTCTTCCCCAGCTAGATTGTGAGCTATTTGAGGGCAAGGGCTTTGTTTTTGGTTCACTAATGTATCCCTAGTGCCTAGAATGGTGCCTGGACGTGGTAGATGCTTAGTAAATACTTGCTGAATGAACTAGTTGGTTCATAAAAAGCCTAAATAGCATGATAGATTTTTAGTTTTATTTTTTCCCTTAAAATATGTTCATTAATAAATTTAATGTTTAAAACAGTAGTTTCTAAATCTGGTTGTGTATCAAAATTTTTTGAGAGCTTTATAAACTGTAGCTTCTCCTTGACTGTAAATCATGTTTTAATAGTGAGTTAGTAGCAGTTTGGGGTAGGGTTGGTGATGGAGGGCTTTAAGCTTAATCCTGAGTCTATAATACAGTATTTTTTTATCTGTGACCGTAGCAAAGAGCTTGCACACTAAGTTGTTCTGTATGCTACCATTAATGTTTAAGAGATATATGAGTTAGGAAGTAGGGAGGAAAGTTTAACATCCTAGAAAATGTGGTATGACCTCATAACTCTATTAAATTAGGACAGTGGAAAGGAAATTCAGTTAGAAAAAAATCGTATACTTAAGGCCAGGCACGGTGGCCCATGCCTGTAATCCCAGCACTTTGGGAGGCTGAGGCAGGTGAATCACCTGAAGTTAGGAGTTTGAGACTGGCTTGGCCAACATGGCAAAACCCTGCCTCTACTAATAATACAAAAACTAGCCAGGCGTGGTGGTACATGTCTGTAGTCCCAGCTACATGGGAGGCTGAGGCAGGAGAATTGCTTGAACCCGACAGGCAGAGGTTGCATTGAGCTGAGACCATGCCATTGCACTCCCCACTGCTCAACAGAGTCAGCCTCATCGCAAAAAAAAAAAATATATATATATATATATATACACACACACACACATATACACATATATATATACATATATACACATATATATATACACATATATATACACATATATATATACACACATATATATATATATATACTTGAAGAGGAGGAAATAACACTAGTTCAACTTCATGAATTCCAAGAATAAGGAATTATGAAGCTGCTTTGTAGAGGCAGAAAGAAGATAAAACTTTTGTGGGAGAGGGTCATAGTAGAGGGCCAGATAATTTAGAGAGAATTATCTGAATGAATGACGCAGCTGTGCAAACTGAGACAAGTTTCAGTTGAACAAATGAAAATCAGTGTCACAGATGGCCCAGGGATAAGGATGGGCACTACCAGCTAGTGTGTTTGTAGAGAACTTGGCCTGTAGATGCTTTCTGCCACACACGTTGCTCACTCTGGATGTCCCATGAAATTCTTGTCAGTATAGAGCAGAGGTTGGTAAGCTTTTTAAGAAAATGGACTAATGGTAACTATTTTAGGCTTTATAGACTGACTATAGGGTCTCTGTTGGAATTACTCATCTCTGCCATAATAGTGTGAAAGCAGTATGTAAACAAATGAACATGGCTGTGTTCCATGAAAACTTTATTTACAAAAATAAGCAGCAGGCCAGATTTGGCACACAAGCTGTAGTTTGCAAACTCCTTGTATAGGTTAACAAAACCCACTCTTTTCATGATTTGAAAAAGTATTACAAGATTTTTTTAAAAAGTATTGATTAAACTAAGGGAATAAACATTAAGAACATTGAAAATGTAAGTTTTACTTAAGTAGTTATAAAACCTGATGTAATTGAGCTGTGTGTCGTGGTGAGCACCTGGAGTCCCAGCTACTTGGGAGGCTGAGGCAGGAGGCTTGCTTGAGCTCAGGAGTTCGAGTCCAGCCTGCACAACAAAGTAAGACCACTTTTCTTAAAAAAGAACAATGAAAAACCTGATATAATTGATTTTCCTCTTGTGATTTTTTAGCTCCCTTAAAGTATATTTTAAATCATCATGGTTTAATATCTGAATCATGGTTTTTCTTCTTTATTGGTTATTTGGTTGGTTTTCTTGGGAAAAGAGGTTGGTACTAGTCCAATTTGCACGTTTGTAGAGGATTCTATACACATGTAGTCCTACATGTACACACACATACACAAATTATTTATAAATATATAATATATATGTGTCAGAGAACATAAATTAATGTTATATTGTGAAGCTTATATATAATTCAGTTTTGCAGATGAATTTATTCAAGAGCAGCTTATGGAGATTAAAACTATACAACTTAGAAATTAAATACTGAATTTTAAGATTTTTTTTCTTTCCTAAAAGCCATACTTTCTTTTTTTTTTTAAAAAAAAAAAAAAAAAGGCTGTTGCCCAGGGTGGAGTGTAGTGGTGCCATCATAGTTCACTGCAGCCTCCGACTCCTGGGCTCAAGTGATCCTCCCACTTCAGCCTCCCAAGCAACTGGGACTAGAGGCATGTGCCACCATGCCCATATCAAAAGCCATACTTATACTTCATAATTTGAATTTTTATTTTAAATTAAGATTTTAAAAGTTATTGTTTTTGAGCCCTGAGTCAATCTGTGTTCTTGGACAGTTTTTTCTATCCATCTGTAAATTGTTTTCCTTGCCTTGCTTTTTATAGTGGAGTATCTTTACAAATTTAGAGCTAGAAATAGAGCCAGTATTCTTATAGTCTGCAAAATCATGTTTCCATTGTCTAAGTTATATACAACCCATTTAATACAGTAAATTGTTAGTTATCCTTGTATTCTTCCTACATCATGAAAGTGCCAGGCAGGTGGATCACCTGAGATCAGGAGTTTGAGACCAGCCTGGCTAAGATGGCATAACCCCGTCTCTACTAAAAATACAAAAAACCAACCAGGCATGGTGGCGAGTGCCTGTAATCTCAGCTACTTGGGAGGCTGAGACAGGATAATTGCTTGAACCTGGGAGGCGGAGGTTACAGTGAGTTGAGATCTCACACTGCACTCCAGCCTGAGAGACAAAGCAAGACTCTGTCTCAAAAACAAAAGTGCCAGGTAATTCTTGGAAGGCATGGATCAAGATGCTGTTTTGCCCTTGTGATCATGGATAATCCCAGTCTGTGGTCATTGACTGTCCAGGGAATACTGTTTACTGACAGGAAAATATACCATCAGGTAATGAAAGAGAGACATTTAATGACCACATTTGACTCCTGTTTTAAACCAGCTGCCTCTGTACTATTGTTTAAATTCATGACAACAAACGGTAGTAAGCATATAAATAAAGGAATATACGTGTGCCATATATAACACTTGAGCATCTATGTATTATGAGCATACATGTGTGAGGCATGGTCATTATAATTTTTCTTTAGCTATGAAAAGCACGTTTCCCATTTCTATTCAGAATGTGAGCTTCAATAATTAAGATTTTTAAAATCTTTTGTATTTCTCAGAGATCTCAATTAAAATGTCCAAATAGGGCCGGGCACAGTGGCTCACACCTGTAATCCCGCCACTTTGGGAGGCCGAGGCAGGTGGATCACGAGGTCAGGAGTTTGAGACCAGCCTGGCCAACATAGTGAAACCCCGTCTTTACTAAAAATACAAAAAGCCAGACATGGTGGTGCGCACCTGTAGTACCAGCTACTTGGGAGGCTGAGGCAGGAGAATCGCTTGAACCTGGGAGGCGGAGGTTGTGGTGAGCTGAGATTGCGCCACTGCACTCCAGCTTAGGCAACAGAGTGAGACTCCGTCTCAAAAAAAAAAAAAAAAAAAAAGTCCAAATAGTGGAGATCGGGGTAAATACTCATTTGGGTTTCAATATGGAAAATGGTTATTTAGTTTTAAATATTTCAACAAGTTTGTGAAAGTTGTGCCTACTATGTTTTAGTTTGAGAGCAAAAAAAACACTTCAATATGTTGACATCAGTAAAAATAGTAATATATAACTTTTAAAAACTAGAGCATGGTATAGCTTTATGAATAATCAGATTTGGATCACAAAGTTATGGAGCCGTTTACTTCATGAGTCCAAGCAGAGAGTAGCAGGGAAATCTCTATTTTTAATACAATATATGTTACAAAATGTTTCCAAGTGCGTGGTTAGGTGGATATATTCTTAGAGAAGAAATCATATGAAATATTAAAGCAGGTTATGATTCTGTTTGGTCTTTTCAATCCTGGGTGGTTAAAACTTAAGAAATGATTCATGTCTCTAATAAGGTGAAGGGGATGTTATATTACTTAAAAGAGCACTGCGTATCCAAAGGAAATGGAAGAGTTGTTTTTTCTTCTCTTAAGGAATTTGTCCAAGTTATTACAAATCTTGCATCAAGTACAGTCACAAGTATACTAACCACTATACCATTTAAGTTGGAGATTACTTGAAAAGCATGACATTTTTCTTACCTTTGAGTAGTCCGGTTTGCTTTGTACTGTTAAATCTTAGATAAATGGTGAAATATGGATGGTTTTTATGAATTTTTTCTTGTTCAGATGAGAGATCTCCAGCTGCTCAGTATGTAGACCTATTGCTGAACCCAGAGCGTTACACTGGCTATAAAGGGACCTCTGCATGGAGAGTGTGGAACAGCATCTATGAAGAGAACTGTTTCAAGTAACTGGAGGGGGTGGGGGAAGAAGGAACGACTGATAGAGGGTCGGGAGAGGCCGGGTGCTGTGGCTCACGCCTGTAATCCCAGCACTTTGGGAGGCCAAGGTGGGTGGATCATCTGAGGTCAGGAGTTCAAGACCAGCCTGGCCAACATGGTGAAACCCCGTGTCAACTAAAAATACAAAAAAATTAGCCGGGCATGATGGCAGGTGCCTGTAATCCCAGCTACTTGGGAGGCTGAGGCAGGAGAATCACTTGAACCCGGGAGGCAGAGGTTACAATGAGCAGAGATTGCGCCACTGTACTCCAGCCTGGGTGACTAAGTGAAACTCTGTCTCAAAAAAAAAAGAGGGTGGGGAGGGGAGTATTTGTTTCTATTGGAATAAAATTATACACTATAAAAGTTAAAACATTCTATGTTTGGGTATTATGCTTTCTTTTTCAGGCCTCGATCTGTTTATCGTCCTTTAAATCCTCTGGCGCCTAGCCGAGGTAGGTTTTTCATATGTACATTTTCATGCTTTTCATTGTTTATAAAATGTCTTTATAACTAAACTTCATATTGAAAAAACTTTCATTTTTATATTTTGTTTAATTTGAATGATGAACAAAAAGTGTAAGATTAGTTCATAGTCGAGTCTCGAGATCTCTAGGCATGTTGTTTTACATAATTACTGTCATTTATTGAATGCCTGCTCTGTGCCAGACCCTAAACTAGGAAGTTTATGTAAAATAATTAAAATATGTGAGTAATCAATATATATCAAAGATTTCCTGGGGACTTATTAAAAAATCTGGTTGCTCAGGCCCTACGCTATATTAATTAAGTCAGAATCCTTGGAATGAGAACACCAGGCATTGTTATTTTTTAAACTCTCCACATGATTCCAGTATGCAACCAAGTTTGACAGCCAGTGTCTCGTAACAGTGCTTCTAGACTTCAGTGTGCATACACATCACCCAGGAGCCTTGGTAACATACAGCTTCTGATTCTGTATTTCTTGGGAGAGGTCCAAACACACTCCTAGGTGCTGCCTCAGGTGCCGACTCATGTACCACACTTTCAGTAGGAAAAATGTACAACAATTTTAGAAACTTTAGCAGTGCTCTATATCTGTACTGTCCAATAAAGTAACCAGTTTCCACATGGGACTGTGGAACACATGAAATTTGGCTAGTGTGAAACTGAATTTTAAATTGTATTTAATCTTAGTTTATTTAGATGTAAAAACTATATTGTTAAACAGAACCTTATTGTTTTGGTAAGACTACTATAACCTATGCGTCATGTAACATATTTTTGTTGTAGTGTGTGTATACTTTTGAATTTTAAAAATGTGGCTATTAGAAACATTTTAAGTTAACACTCGTGTGTGGCGTTATATTTCAATGGAACAGCATTACTGTCATCAGTGGGATACATCCTCAGTCTGTTCTCAGTGAGGAACCAAACCCTGGGAGCAACTCTGTCATTGACCTGCCATTCCAGTGTTTTCTTTAGACGGGGAGTGTTTTAAGAAATTTGATTTCCTGATCTAAATTTGTATCTTTAGACCTTTCTGAGAACCAAATAGACTTGGAAGGGTTGACTGCATAGACTGCTTTTTCATGCTCACTCTGTCACAATGTGGCAAATACTTGTTTTCCCCAAATTCACATTGAAACTGCCTGGAGAAGGAAGTTGGTCCTGAAAAAGACGTGCCTGGCTTCTTATCCTTTGTCTCTTTTACTACTTTTGCCTCACAACTTTTCTATTTTCAACTTAAAGGTTTTAATTAAACAAAATTTTATAAAAATTGAAGCAATATAGTAGTTATATAAAGTGAAAAGGGAAAGCTCTTCTATTCCATAGTACAGAGTTTGAAAGGTGTTCTTCCAGACCTTTTCTACAGCCACTTAATACTTTTAAAGCAGAAAATACAATTTTTTCACTTAAGAAAACCATCAAGTCCTAAGAAACACTTCATTTCCATGTTAGTGATATATCAGAGACATAACACTGCTGAAAAGATGAGGAAAAGGAAACTACTACATAGAAAAAGAGGAAGGGAAGAGGAGAAAAGAAGAAAAATGAAATATGAAAGAAGACAAGACTAGGTAAAGAGAATGGTTCCTAGCTGTTATAGGAGTACTCTATGAAGTAATTAATAGCTCTTGCTGTTGCTATTTACCTGCTATCTCCATTGAAATTGGTTGATTAATAGTTCTTTAATCTTCTTAACTCTTTCTTCCACATTTCTGAGTCATAACCCCTAGGCTTATACAACTATTTTCTAACAGGTTTTGAGCAATAGGAACTTTTGTCCAAAAATGAAATCTTATTTCAGAACCTACATAATAAAGCTGATAGGCAGAGCTGCTGTGTTGCCCTAGAGCCCAACCTCTGGCCTCTTCCTCACCTCTAGGCCTCCTGGAAGCAGCACCTTGCCCAAGGGTTTCACTGATTACAGTTTGGGATATACTCTTACTAAGGCCTGTCTCTGCTGAGGAGCAGTAATTTAAAAGAGAAAAATATTCCAGGTTGGAAACAGTAATGTTCAGAGAGGATTGTGTGCATAATGATTAAAGGAGCAACTTTATGTAGTAATTAATTAATTATTGAAAATAGTGGTCTTTATGACTTTTTAGTTGCTTTCTGATGTTATTGTATTTTAAAATGTGCAAATCTTTTTTTTTTTTTCTTGAGACAGAGTCGCACTCTGTCACTCAGGCTGGAGTGCAGTGGTGTGATCTCGGCTCACTGCAACCTCCGCCTCCTGGGTTCAAGCAGTTCTCTGCCTCAGCCTCCTGAGCAGCTGGGATGACAAGGTGCCGGTCACCACGCCTGGCTAATTTTTTGTATTTTTAGTAGAGATGGGGTTTCACTATCTTGGCCAGGCTGATCTTGAACTCCTGACCTGGTGATCCTCCCAAAGTGCTGGGATTACAGGCCTGAGCCACCGTGCCCAGCCTTCTTCTTTTTTTTTTTTTTGAGACGGAATTTTGCTCTTGTTGCCCAGGCTGGAGTGCAATGGCGCGATCTTGGCTCACTGAAACCTCCACCTCCTGGGTTCAAGTGATTCTCCTGCCTCAGCCTCCCAAGTAGCTGGGATTACAGGTACATGCCACCATGCCTGGCTAATTTTTGTATTTTTAGTTGAGACAGGGTTTCACATGTTGGCCAGGCTGGTCTCAAACTCCTGACCTCAGGTGATCCACCCACCTTGGCCTCCCAAAGTCCTGGGATTACCGCCGTGAGCCACCACGCCTGGCCAAAATGTGCAAATCTTATACTCTTTGACCTGTATTCTGATTAAGAGGACTCATTTGCAGGGCGTCTACTCAGTGACCAAGGTTTGTGATATAATTAATAGTTTAACAGTTTTAATCTCAAAAAATAGTATTGGGATCTGAGCTATGTAAGACATTTTCTAAAATCTTTTCTATTATTTTCTCTTTTAGGCGAAGATGATGGTGAGCAAAACTCATGTTTGTTTGTTTCAAGTGTGGAGGAAATTTTTTGTAACAATCAGAATTTGATTTTTCCTTTATGGAATTCAAAAGAAAGTATTCCTGTTTTCTAAGAAAATAGCTACTAATGAATGGTGACCAAAAAAAAAAAGATTATTTTATATATATCAAGTTATCCTATGTTAAAAAAAAAAGACCATTTTTCCTAAATGCTTAGTTTGTAAATCAATTCACATTACAAGTTCCCCATTTTCTGGTTATTATATAATTTACTTGAATATGTCCTGAGGAAGTGGGGAGAAGGAGTTAAGGTAGTTTTACCAGATAATTTGTCTTGTGACCTCTTTATTTTCTTATTGACTGAAATTTCTAACCTCAGGTATCAATATAATACTTAATTTGATGACGAGCAATTTATTAACAATTGATTATTGAATGAATGTTGGTTAAAAGATACCCCCAAAATAGCCAAAATAATTATTTCAACTGAATGTTTACCTCTCTGTGTTCAGGGGCACTGATGGGCATTGTCCAGGGTAGGAAGATGTTTAAAACATGGTGCTTTCCCTCTAGGAGCTGAGGATATATAGGATAGTAGGAAAGATAAGCACTGTACATAAACAATGGTAATGAGGTAAAGAAATACTCCATAGATGGTACAAACAGTAGGTGATATATATAGCTCCTTAGAGGAGAAACAGATCGTATCTCACAGGAGCGATGTGGGAAAGCTTACTGGAGGAGGGGTAGCATTTGAGGTGAATTTTGAATAATGGGACAGATTTAGATCCGTACAATTGGATAGTGCATGTTGGAGGAAACAGCATGCAGCTGGGAGTTGAGACAAGTCAGGCATGTTTGGGGAGACAGTAAAGAGACCCTTTTAGTGGTAGGTAAGACTATATAGTGGTAGTTTAAATTAGATTGATAGAGGCCATATTTTTTAGTACGTTGGGTACTAGACTTTTCCTGTTGGCACTTGAGGTGTTTTGAATCACAAGTGATATAATGATAAATGATCCTTACTATATGTTGAATGAATTAATTTGTTAGACGTTTTCATTTTTGTACAAAGTATGAAGACTCTCAGGAGGCAAAGTAATTCCCCACCGTCTAGTTTATCCCTAGACTCCTTACTCAGCTCATCTGAGTGTTCGGTTTTTCTATAATTTCTATCATTCTCAATTTAAAAAAAAACAACATCAAGGATAGGTAACGCAGGAAGTGCATTAACAATTTTGATTCTTATTGACTGCTCTCTTTTCTTTCTCTTTCCCCAACTCAGAAGAAGGTTACAGGGCCAGGAATGGTTCTTTTTTTTTTTTTTTTTCAAGTGTTTAACATGTTTTGAAATATGTATACATTGTGGAATGGGTATATTGAGCTAATTAGCTCACATACCATTTTTTTGGCGAAAACACTTAAAATCGCAGCAATTTTCAAGAATACAATACGTTGTAATTAACTGTAGTCAGCATGTTCTACAATAAATCTCTTGAACTTACTGCATTTCTTTAACTGAAATTTTGTATCCCTTGACCAGCATCTCCCTGACCCCAGGAATGTTCTTCAGCATTAGTACACAGATTAGTCAAGCCCTTCTGTATTCTATTAACTTTCCTGAAGAATTATATTGAAAATTAAGAGATTTTTTAGCTGTCCCTTAAAACTTATTAGTCTTAGAAAATTGAGGAAATATTTTTAGTTTTATTGGATTAGGAAAAATGGAATAATCAATAGTTGGACGTTTGTGTTAATTATAATTCCTTATTTTCTTGGAATATTTAAAAAGCACTATGGTTGTTATGAAAAGCAAATTTGAGATCGTTAAAATGTTTGCCCTATGTTTTCAGATATTTACACCTTCAATGAATAAGATTTATATACTTTTTTTTTTTAAAAGAGGCAGGATCTTGCTATGTTGCCCAGGTTGGATCCGATCTCCTGGGCTCAAGCAATCCTTCCCCCTCAACCTTCTGAGTTAACTGGGGCTACAGGTCCAAGCCACTGTGGCCAGCTCATATTTTGACTGAAATGTTTTCTTAAAAAATTTAATAGTCAAAATATTTGTAAAAACACTCTCTTAAAGTTACTTAAATTATTTGTAGGTTTTATTTCCTAGAACCATATGGTTATTTTTCTATTTTACCTGAAGCAGTAGACATTTTAGAGAGATTACTTAATCTGTCATAATTTTTTTTTTTTTTTTTTTTTTTTTTGAGACAGGGTCTCACTCTGTCACCCAGGCTGGAGGGCAGTGGTATGATCTCGGCTCACAGCAACCTTAGCCTCCTGGGTCCAAGCAATTCTCCTGCCTCATCCTCCCGAGTAGCTGGATTACAGGCCTGCACCTCCATACCCGGCTAATTTTTTGTATTTTTAGTAGAGATGGGGTTTCGCCATGTTGGCCAGGCTGGTCTTAAACTCCTGGCCTCAAGTGATCAGCCCACCTCGGCCTCCCAAAGTGCTAGGATTATAGGCATGAGCCACCATGCCCTGCAGAAAGATTTTATAAACCTAATTTATTCTACTTTATAAATGACCATATAATGTTTTAATCCACTTTTCTCTCTCTCTCAGGAGAATCATTCTACACATGGCTAGAAGGTAAACAGTCTGTTCTAAATTTATTGGATTTTTTGTTAAAAAATACTGATTTATTTAGCATATTTTTGTAAGGTCTAGGATTTTATTACCTAGTCAACTAATTTTGACAGTTTGAAAAAAAAAATGTGTTTTAGGTTAACATATGGGGATAAAATTATGTGAAAAGTTTGAAGATAGTGGTCAGCTAAAAACCAGGTTTATATAAATACACAGGCCAAATACTGTCATCAGGTTTTCATAACTGGTTCCCTAATCTTATTTCTGTTCTGTATGTAATGTTCATTCAAACTACTTCTCTAGTAACGAGTATGCAAAATATTTTAAAAGTGGAGACATTCCTTTTGGAAGGAAGTACTTTTTATATATAAAATTAATGGAAGATAAATATGAATTCAAAAGATTCGAAACATATTTGCCACGTTAATATAGTCTAACCTTGTCTGATTAAAAGATAAAGCAATATAGATCCTGATATATTAGATGCTTTTGCATTCTTGTACTTCCAGTGTTGAAAATATCAAATGCTATTAATGGAAAGGTGAAATGTTGTAGGATTTTAATAACTCAGGTTAATAACTGGATATATGATGCTTTTAAAAATTTACCTTACCAAATTGCCATTAGTATATGAAATTAAAAATTAAAATATATTAGTAACAGATAAGCAAGTAGAATGACATAGGAAAATTGATATTTCATAGCCATAACCTTATAGGAATACTACAGAGTAAAACTAATTCTATTTTATGCATGTCAATTGGTCATGTTATCTTATGAATATTATTTCTTTTTTTTTTTTTTGAGTCAGAGTCTCGCTGTTGCCCAGGCTGGAGTGCAGTGGCGCCATCTCGGCTCACTGCAACCTCTGCCTCCCAGGGTCAAGTGATCCTCCTGCCTCAGCCTCCCAAATAGCTGGGATTACAGGCACCCGCCACCACACCCAGCTAATTTTTGTATTTTTAGTAGAGATGAGGTTTCGCCGTGTTGGCCAGGCTGGTTTGAACTCCAGGCCTCAAGTGATCTGCCCACCTCAGCCTCCCAAAGTGCTGGGATAACAGGTGTGAGCCACCATACCTGGCCTATTTCTTTGTTTGTAATGAACTATGTGCATATGTTGGCCATTATTAAGGTGAACATTATTGATGTGCAAATTCTGTTAGGAGTTATATGAGAAAATCACTTATGTAGAAGATGTTTAGCTTTGTTTAATAAGCTCTACTCTAAAGATACAAATTGTGAAAAGTAGCATTTAGGCTAGAAAAGGTAGTCAGAGACTCTGAGTGTTAGTAATGAGAATGAAATTTAGAAACAATATTGGATTCTATGTATATTATATCAACCATTCTTCCAGTCTTACTGTTTTGAGTATCTGAATATTGATACATGGTTCCAAAGAGCATTCCCTTATAGGCAGCTGACTCAACCTTTTCTGAGATTCAGTTTCCTCATCTGGAGCGTGGAGAGGAGCAATAGCAGTCCTACTTACACTGTGAGTGTAGATGATTCCTGTAAAGGTTCCTTTGGAAACCACAAATCCACGTCCAAATGCCAAATATTACTGTTACAGTAAATGCAACCCCTTTCTGAAAGTTCAAGTGCTGAAAATGCATTTTAATGAAATTAAATCGAAAAGAGGAAGAAGAGAACCATTTTCTAAATTGTGTAATTGAATTGCTCTATGTTGTTAGAAGTTGGTGGATTCTGCCTTGGTAAGTCAGCTTTTGCAGATGTCACTTCAGAGTGAGATTGAGAAGGCTTTTGCCTGGACCTCGGTAATTAAAGATACCATCCAGCCTGGCACAGACTGTGTGTAGGCCAGGAGAAGCTCTCCAGCAATTTCCTGCTAAGTGTGTTGTGTGTCTGGGTGCACTTACTTGGTGCATATTTTATTATTAATTTGCTTAAAGTTACCTGTTTTTCACAGTTTGTGGAAATACATTTCTATTCCTCTCCCCTCACTTATCCCCTACCTCATTGCAGTGGTAGGGGCTTTGTGGGCTTTGCAAATTATAACTGCCTCCCAGTTTTCCAGGTCCTGGTTTGTAGGCATATGGATTTTCATGAGTTTTGCTTTGCTTACTGTCCCTTCTCTTGTCTTTATCCATTTTATTGGACATAAGCACTGCTTAGAGAGAGAGGTTGGGAAGAAAATAAAGTGAACTTCAAATCTGATATTTTGTTACTTGATAATAGATCTGATGAAAAGTTTTAGTAGAAGAGAAGTTAGTACTTAATGTTGTATTAAATATATTCATATTGTTTGTATCCATTGTTATCGTAAACATTCAAAATTGTCATATACTTTTAGGGAGGAAGCTACAAAATAAAATTCAATTTCTTTTGGTCCCCATCCATGACAATTTGAATATTCTAGCAAGAATTCCCAATTAGGGAACGAGAACTCAAAAGAATTATTTTTTCTAGTTAGAGGCCACGTGCTTCAGAATCATCTGTGATAGGACAGAAAGAGAGAGTGAATTGCTGGAAAATCTTAATAGACACAAAGAAAACCACATACTCTTACATTAAAAAAAAATTTCCCCCATCATATAAATGAGACTATTTTGCTTTCCACTATTAAAGCCCATTTTCCTGCATGGGGAAAGTGTTAAAAACCTGTTGGATGAAGGAGGGAAAAGCTCATGGCCGTGTATCCAGTGACTTCTTAAAATTTTCTGCATTTTTATTTATTTAAGAATTTACCATCTTAATCATTTTTAAGTTTACTGTTTAGTGGCATTAAATACATTCACAATGTGTATTACTCCTATTATGAGAGAAAATCTTTTAAAATGGGGGCAGGGGTTAGGATAGGATGACGGGATATCTTGACCTCTTAAGTTCTCAGCAAAAAAGCCCCTGTGGCTTAAGAAGGCTACATCAAATAACGTTCTGTTATATTCCTGTACTCCACTGATATGATTCCACTGAAGTAGTAAACAGTCAACTTGTTGTTCTTTTTTTAATTAGTTGAAATTCCTGGATTTCTGTTTTCCAAGTTTCAGCTCCTTACAAGTAGAACATATGGTTAAAAAATTAGACAATTTCAGGGCAGAAGGTTAATAAAACCCTTATTTCTCTGCTAGCAAATAACACATATAAGGAAGGGGGAAAAATCCAGCAGTGACTTTATAATTACATTTACTTCAGTAAGTTCTTAGCCTAAACCACAAGAAAACCTGTGCTGTTGCTGTCTAACATGGGAACTTGCCAACTTTATCCATAGTGTTTTGACCCCTAGTTGCTCAAACTTTTCTGCTTTTTTCAGCATTAAGTTCTCATCATATTCAGTTAACTCCATTCTGAAGCCAAAATCTTACTTTGCCTTCTAGTGAGAGAATCTTGATCTAATCAGTTTTATATTATTCCTTGATTTATTTTAATGTTCTTCAATCAAAAATAAGCCTACATACTGAACCTCCTTGAGTCAATATTTCTGATATCTAAATAGGTGTAATTTCTTTTTCAATATTTTTCTGAATAGGTTTGTGTCTGGAGAAAAGAGTCTTCTATAAGCTTATATCGGGACTTCATGCTAGCATCAATTTACATCTATGCGCAAATTATCTTTTGGAAGGTAATCATATTTTTAAGTCGAGATTTTGCCTTCTATTAGTGTAAAAATTATTGGAGAGAATACATATTCTTTAGAGCAGAAAAAAAATCCTGTTTACTAAAACAATGTAATGTATTTCTCTTTCTCTTTAGAAACCTGGGGTAAGCCCAGTTGGGGACCTAATATTAAAGAATTCAAACACCGCTTTGACCCTGTGGAAACCAAGGGAGAAGGTCCAAGAAGGCTCAAGAATCTTTACTTTTTATACTTGATTGAGCTTCGAGCTTTGTCAAAGGTGGCTCCATATTTTGAGCGCTCAATTGTCGATCTTTACACTGGAAATGCAGAAGAAGATGCTGACACAAAAACTCTTCTACTGAATATCTTTCAAGATACAAAGTAAGAATTGACTATCCGTGATTTGAAATTCTCCTCTCTGTATTCAAATGAGGTAGCACTTAAAGTACACAAAAACTGACTCCTAAAAGTTAACCGAGGGGAGATGTAGAACAGAAAAGGAAAGTGATCAATAGAACAACAGAATTTAAAAATATTTCTGAAAATGTTGATGAAAAAGCATTAATAAGGCTTTCTTTTGCAGAAATTTTCACACTTGAGAATAGTGCTTTAAAATATCACTAAATTTTATGTAGTATCAAAATTTAGTGCTACTTTAATGGTCTTTCTACCAATTTTGTATTCTTCTAGTCACTTTATTTACTTACTTATTTTTGAGACAGAGGCTTGCTCTGTTGCCCAGGCTGGAGTGCAATGGCACAATCTTGGCTCACTGCAGCCTCTGCCTCCCAGGTTCAAGCAATTCTTGTGCCTCAGCCTTCTAAGTAACTGAGATTACAGGTGTGTGCCATCACACCCAGCTAATTTTTGTATTTTTAGTAGAGATAGGGTTTCACCATGTTGGACAGGCTGGTCTCAAGCTCCTGGCCTCAAGTGATGCACCCTCCTCTGCCTCCCAAAGTGCTGGGATTAGAGGCATGGGCCATCGCGCCTGGCCTCTAGTCACTATATTTAAATTTAGATGATAATATACATGTGTTTGCATTGGGATGGATATGTAAGGAAACATTAGCCTTATCTTCTAGAATATAACCTTTTAAACAAAACGCTTGGTCAAGAAAACTTGAGTTAACTGGTTTTTAAAATAGCCTGGAAGAGAAAGATTAAAAAGTGTTTAAAGTAAATTATGTATTAAATTTTTAAAGAATATTAAGGGAATATTGCCTATTTTTTACATAGATTGTTTTCAGTTAATTTTTTAGATTACCTGTGTCATTTATTTAAAACATTACAGTCTTACTAAATTTAACAGCCATCTGTGTCTTGCTTTAGTCTTTTATGAAATAGTTTATGTGTGAACTGTTTGTCACTTTTCTACATTACCAAAACTTACATCGGAGTAAATAATGAATTTTAAATATTCATAAGGATAGAAAATTTTATCAGGTTTCTGATACAGAGTACGTGGATTTTTCATGTGTAACTTAATCCAATACTATCATTTTATCAGGTCCTTTCCCATGCACTTTGATGAGAAATCCATGTTTGCAGGTGACAAAAAAGGGGCCAAGTCACTAAAGGTAAAAAGTTCTCGATTGGGACACGGGGTTGGGAGCAGTTTGCTGGTTATGCTTTAATGCTGTGCATCCAAACTGTTTTCTTTCCCAGTTTTCCAGCTTCTTGTCAGAGTTGGTCTGATTGGATTTTAATACAAATGGTACAAAAAGCCTTTCCATATTTC
This sequence comes from Homo sapiens, assembly GCF_000001405.40. Lineage (NCBI taxonomy): Eukaryota > Metazoa > Chordata > Mammalia > Primates > Hominidae > Homo > Homo sapiens. The sequence continues at coordinate 236,224,908 of NC_000001.11, read as the reverse complement.
TCAGTTCCATTGACCAACTGCTTAGTGAATCATTGGTCATTAGTATGTCCTATAACACCTTTATAAATGTCTTTTTAAAAGATACTAGTTGAGGGAAAGTTTTCTTAGTTTAAAAGCAGTGTATATTGTCGTTTTGATGCAGCTTTCAGAATACCATGAGCTTTTAGCCACTTTGAGGACAATAAATATTTTTCTAAAGTTTATTTTATGGAATGTTACGGTTTTTGAAACATATATTATGTTTTTGTCCCTTTGGACTAACTTAAAAGGTTAAAACTACCTGTTAACATGTGACATCAGAAGGAGAATATGTTTTGGGAACATTACCAAACTTCATGTTAGGTGTTCTTTATTTTCATTTGCTTAAAGTACATTAAGAAACAAATTGTACCCTTAAAATGTTCATAAAAGTATTTGAAATTGGCATTTTTTTTTTTTTTACTTTTAAATTTATTTTTTGAGATGGGGTCTCGCTATGTTGCCCAGGCTGGTCTCAAACTCCTGGCCCTGAGCTGTCTTCCCACCTCAGCCTCCCAAGTACCTAGGATTACAGGCACAAGCCACCATACCTGGCCACAAATAATCTTTGAGTACAACTTCATAGTCTTTTATATGTACTTCTGAAATCCGGGTAGTTTCAAAAACTGAAACATTTTCTTATGTTTAGTGCAAGGTAATTTTTTAGCAAAACCTGACCTAAACTGGTGTAAGAATATAGCAGATATTCGTAGTTTTGTGGGGTTGTTTTCAAATTCTGCTTGGTATGAATTTTTTATATTTTGCTACAGAAACATTAACGGATTTGACTGCAGGGTGTTTCCTCACACTCTGGTGAGATGTTTCATAATATACAGTACATGTACTGTATTTCTAAAATTTAAAAACTTCTGAATTCTAAAACACATTTGACCCCAAGATGTTTTAGATGTGGATGTACTATAGGAACCAATAAATCAATACTGAGTGATTCTCCTTTGGCGAGACTTTCTTGGTATTTCTGAAATAAGTAATTTAGTCACAACTATATTTTAGTGTTGGAAGGTTGTTTTATTTTACAGTTGTTTTAGAGGTATATTGCCATTTTGGTATTTTGTATGTTAATTCATTTTTATAATGCTTCCTGTTTTCTAAGTATCAACACATATGTTCTACTTTTAATCTTCAGAATGATCTTGTGTAATAGGGCAACTATAATTATGTATGTTTTTGTAGATGAGGAAAGTGAGACTAAGCAAAGCCTAAGTGTCTCACAGCAAGCTTTTAACTACACAATGCTGGGATTTTGTTTGCTGTTTGTCAAGAATGTATGAAGGAGAACCTATGTCCCTTTTCCATCTGCTGCAAAGAACTTACATTACATGAGAATATGACCAGCACAGGAGTTTTTGTGTTCTATTTATATTGTCTTTCTTTGCCAAGGTATTGATTCCTTTCAACCCTCTGGCAGCTGGTCAGGGCTTGTGGTAGCCAGAGTTTTCAGGCTACTTGCCTCCCGCTTCATGCAATAAAATATTTCCCTCAATGCAATAAAATGATTTTTATTTTCTGCAGTTGCCATGTGAAACAAATGAGGAAATTTTCTCTTAACCAATCTTATCCGCAGATAAAGTGAGACCAACCTTAAAGGCATATTGCACACAAATGCTTATAGGCAGAAGAATTTCCCCAGTGTAGGAAACTTCTCTTTTTTTTTTTTTTTTTTTTTTGAGACAGAGTTTCACTCTAGTTGCCCAGGCTGGAGTGCAGTGGTGCGATCTTGGCTCACTGCAACCTCCACCTCCCGGGTTCAAGCTATTCTTCTTCCTCAGCCTCCCAAGTAGCTGGGATTACAGGCATGCACCACCACACCTGGCAGATTTTGTATTTTTAGTAGACATGAGGTTTCACTATGTTGTTTAGGCTGGTCTCAAACTTATGACCTCAAGTGATCACACCTTGGTCTCCCAAAGTGCTGGGATTACAGGCGTGAGCCACCCTGCCTGACCAGTGTGGGAAACTATTACAGCAAAATAGAGGGATCCAGTAAGCATCTCCATAACAACTGCATTAGCAAATGTAGAGGACTGTGGGACCATATGTGTCACACAGGCCTGTTATCATTCATATTGATTGAGCAACCATGACAAACATAGTGTGGTACTAAGGAGTGATACAAAAATTGATCATTGTTCTAGGACTAGCTTTCTGATATAGGCTTACACAAAGCAAAGGATCAAAAATAAGTGAAACATAAACTAGACATATTTATTGTTGGTTGTATGTAGATAACAAATGGAAGCAGCAATTAAGTTCCTTAAAAGTAAAGACCATGTATTATTTACTTTTGTATCTCCCATAGTGCATATTTTGGTGCTTTGCATAAAGTAGCTCCTCAGTGGAAAGTGAATTAATATGCAGAATGAATTTTATTAATTTCCATTAATGTCAGTATTTTATGTACCATGTTATAGTATACAAGTATCAAGTATTTTTCTTTACTGTTGAAAAACACAACTCGGGTTGGGTATGGTGGCTTACACCGTAATCCCAGCACTTTGGGAGGTCGAGGTGGGCAGATCATTTGAGGCCAGGAGTTCAAGACCAGCCTGGACAACATGGCGAAACCCCGTCTCTACTAAAAATACAAAAATTAGCTGGGCATGGCGGCATGCGCCTATAATCTAAGCTACTTGGGAGGCTGAGGAGACAGGAGAATCCCTTGAACCTGGGAGGTGGAGGTTGCACTAAGCCGAGATGGCACCACTGCACTCCAGCCTGGGCGACAAAGCAAAACTCCTTCTCAAACAAACAAAAAACACAACTGATTTATTAATAAGCATCAAAACTTACTTATCGTTTAGCCAAATGCGGTTCAATTTTAAAAGTCTAATTAGACTGAAAATATTTTCTGCTTGCTAGGAGGAATTCCGATTACATTTCAAGAATATCTCCCGTATAATGGACTGTGTTGGATGTGACAAATGCAGATTATGGGGAAAATTACAGGTATATGTGTTGTCTTCTCTTTTGAAGCCATTACTAACCTTTATTTTTTCCACTGAGTCCAAGCTTTTTATTAAAATGTCCTCATTGTTCATTGAATTAGAATTTAGGAATAGGCAGATCCAAGGTGTTTTTTCTGTTGATGAAAAAATTAAAGTATATGTGTTACATGTATGTGAAAGGATGTTTCTCATATTATTCTTTAGTGATTTTAGTTTTATTGTGTCTATGTTTCTATTGATACAATACCAGATTCATTTGTGAAGTTGGTGGTCATTACGAACCGAGTATATCCGTATTTTACATATGTATATAGAAAGGTAAAATGTAATTACATAAAAAGATTGAAATATGAAGTCTTGGTCATTGAATTTGTATAAATGAGCAAAAGAAGGTCACTTAGTCAAAACAGGAAAGCTCCGCAAGACAGGTCCATTACTCTGTGTAAGCCAGTGTCAAAAGGATTGTTGAATATTTTATCTCTTTCTAACAAAGATGGTAACTTATAGAAAATTAAGAGACAAAATTATTACAGTGGAGGCTATACTGAAATAAAATGTCTTTTTCTATAGTGCTAATAATTGAGAAATTATTAAGTGTGGGTATCAATAATCTCTGAGTTTTGAATTGCTAAAAGCTGTAAAAAGTCCTTTATGGTTACAAATTGAACATTGTAATCCTAATATGGTATTTTCAAGGTTAAAAAAGTCATTTTAATAATTTGGAATAGTATGATATGTATTCAATAAGTGTTAAGACTATTCAGGTTTCCTTAACTGCTCAGATGTGTTTATTATATGCATAACCTGTGAGAAAGTAGAAACTGTAGTAATATTTTTGTGAAAAGCTCAGTTCATATGAATTTCCTAACTGGCATAACAGTGGCTATATATTCCTTTAAGCCTTTTTACTAGTTATTATTATTTAAAGTTAATTATGAGTTTATTGCTATTTTCTTTAGACTCAGGGTTTAGGAACTGCCCTGAAGATATTATTCTCTGAAAAAGAAATCCAAAAGCTTCCAGAGAATAGTCCATCTAAAGGCTTCCAACTCACCCGACAGGAAATAGTTGCTCTTTTAAATGCTTTTGGAAGGTAAGAACCATTATATGTTGAAGATTTTTGATTTCCCATTGGGTTTCAACAAACTGCAAAGATAATCTTCTTTGCTAAAAGTAGGGTTTGTTTTGTTGACAAAAAAAAATTTTATATTGTATCTGTACTAACTTAGAGAGGCCTTAATGCTGACAAGTCAGTTTCTCTACAGGTCATAGGAAAAACTAAGTTTCCAATTGCCAGTGTTTTTCAGTTTGCTGCCTTAATTTTGTAAGGGAGATATTCTTCTAATATTCTTTTTGCTTGGCTATAACTTGTTCAACTACAATAGCAGGAGTAAGGAATGTGTGATTGAGAAGGTGATAAAAGAAAATTAAAACCTTCATCTGCTCCTTATTTTTCTTAAATTTTCATTACTATTTTTTTCTTTTCTCACCTTTTTCCTGCACTATGCTCTTTATTTCTGAAGCTCAGAGGTCATTTTTCTTTCACTCATTTCTACATGATTTACTTCTGTATAGAGACATATAATTTGCTTGCTTGTTTATATCACCAGTGGTTTAAAAAATAATTTGAATTTGCCAGCAGAGATACATGTAATGCCAACTGAGGAATACAGAACAGAAGGAAAAGAATCACAGAAAATAATACTATGCTTCCTTGGGGAAAAAGAGAAAAAAGTCAACTTGAGGAAGAATTAAAAAAAAAAAAATAGGGGACTAAGTAATACAAAGATTATTTCTTGGTTTTCTTAACATGTGTTTTAAGTTAAAAAGAAGCAGTTAAATTAAAAACAGATTTATTATATGTCCCCTGCTTTTTTTTTTTTTTTTTTTTTTTTTAAAAGAGATGAGGGTCTCGCTCTGTCATCCAGGCTGGAATGCAGTGGCACAATCATGGCTCACTGCAGCATCCAAATCCTGGGGTCAGGCGTTCCTTCCACTTGAGCTTCCCAAGTAGCTGGGACTACGGACACATGCTATTTTGCCTGGCTAATTAAAAAATTTTTTTTGTAGAGATGGGGGTCTCACTTTGTTGTCCAGTCTGGTCTCAAACACCTGGCTTCAAGTGATTCTCCTGTCTTGGCCTCCCAAAGTGCTGGGATTACAGGCATGAGCCACTGTACCTGGCCATTTCCCATCTTAATAACAAGGATTTCAGCTGTTGCTTCCCTGTATTTAAAGATGACTATGTAGGTTGAGATTTCAGACACAGGATAGATATAGACTATCCATTAACTGGTATTTCATAAAAAATTCAGTCCATCCACTTATGAGGCCTGTAGAAAGATAACACAGGAGATACTGAATGAAATTTAAATAAATTGAAATGAAAAATATTGTAAATAACTTAAGCATCTCTTAAGTCCAAATTAAATTGAGAAAGATGAAAACAATTGAGAATTTCAAAACAATTGAAAATTTCCTTCGATCTCATAAAAAATATTCACAAATGCAGCCTTTCTTGTTTTAGTTCTATATCTAGAGCTTATTACCTTTTATTGTTCCCTAGAGTAATGGACTCAGAATCAGGGGTCCTAAAGTTCTGGAATCCTGGCCTGCCCTTTAGTAGTGGTATGAACTCAGGCAAATCACTGCTTTCCTAGTTTGTTTCCTGATAATGAGATCATATATGTGATGGGCTTAGAACATTGCCTGTCCTCCTAAGTGATTAAGGAATAATTTTTCTTCTATCAAATAGTTAAAGATTTTTCTTCTATCACCCCTGAATTGTACATAGGGATACTTGAGCTTTTAGAATTACTTTTTTATATTTCCCATCCCAGAGTTTTACTTTTTGGCCTGGGCTGAGAAGCACTTCATTTAGTCAGTCAGTAATCATTTACTGAATACTATAAGCATCAATGGGTATGGGGCACAGGAGAGAGACTCAGCAGGAGATGAAATAGAGTCTTTACCCTTAGGGAGCTAACAACATAAGACAAATTAGTGTGTTTGGGGAACATTGAGTAAAGAGCAATCATTTGAAGAGGAATGTGCAAAATAAATTTATTAGACCAATTGTAAATGATTTGAGATTCTTTATTAAGAATTATTCATATCACTGTTCCCATTATTAATCTAATGTCTGTAGATAGTATGAAGTAACAGGCTTCCTTTGCCCCTTCTAAACCAGTCTTAATGAGAACACTAATTTAAACATGGAAGCTTCAGTGTTTGAGGTTTTTTATTTTAGGTTTTGCTTTCAAATTATAGCTTATGTAACAATATCAATAATTTGAAACAGTATGCAACATGTTAGCCTTACTAATAAGCTTTTTCTTTCTTCCATAGGCTTTCTACAAGTATAAGAGACTTACAGAATTTTAAAGTCTTATTACAACACAGTAGGTAATAAAGGCTTTTATGTGTCTAACTAGAGACATAAAGTGACTGTGGAAAGCCTTTTAATTATGGACATTCATCAGAAAGACACTAATCTGACTTCAAGAATTCTGAACTATTAAATAGAAAATTTAAATGCTCACTTGAATATTTATGATTCTTAATAGATTATTATCAACTAGAGATATTTATAAATGAAGTATATACTTTTAAAACATGTAAGTTATACTAATTTTGTGTTTAATTTCATATGTTTTCATGTAATGAAAATTCTATTTTTTTTAGAATTGGTTTTGTTTTTATTCTATTATCCTTTATTTCCAGTTGTCAAACTTTAAATGGCTATGTCTGCATTCTAATAACACTGTTCAGTCTGTTATGGAAAAGGAGAACTAGGGAACAAATGTTGCTCAGGGCTGGTGTCAGTGAGAAAAATTTATCAATGCTTTTTAATGTGTTTTTACCCTTGCCTCACTGTGTGTGTGTCACTTTCTATAATATAAAGAAATACTATAATATTTCTAGAATCTGGAACTGTCACCATGATGAATGGCCCTTTCAATGCATAGTTACAGAAATTCCTGAAGATTCCCCAGGACTTCAATTTCATTGGTTTTTATTTGCAGTTTTTAGTTGCTGTAATTGTTGCTGTTTCCAGTCTAAAGGACCTCCTTTGGTAAAGGTGAACAAGACCTCTCCCCTATGCTACCCAGCCAGATTTTGTGTGTGTAATGGGCTGGCCCAAGAGTGTTCTTTTACTTAGAACTCCTTTTGATTTTGCTTTTCTCTGCCCCTAGAAATTTTAGGGACAAAGACATTTTGGAAATTGTCAGTTACTTTTAGAAAGAAAACACTGCAGAAATATTTAACAGATTACTTCTTGATAAAATTTAAATGGGATTATATGAATTTATAATGCCAATTGAAAATATTATATACACAAAATTTGCTATTTTCACTTAAAGTAAGCATTTTTAAAGGATTTATTTTAGAATACAATCTATGCAATCCTCGAACTCAGTGTGCTTTTCCCTGACAGGATATATAAAAAGGTAGATTAGGTCAACCCTCCTTTAAGCTTACTCTCCCCTCACCTTTTCTTTTCACTGTATATAAACGGTACTTTCTGTGATTCATACCAACAGAGGACTTTCTGTGATTCATACCAACAGTCCTAAACTGTCATTTTCTAAATCTGGGATTTAAAATCTTTAGACAATATTTAAAATCTTGATTTTTTTTAAATGTCAGCAGATACAATTTGGAAGATTGCATCTGTGTAGAAGTAATGCAGGTACAAGATCTAGAGTTTTTCCTTAGACTCTTTAGTCTTTTCTGAATTAAAGAATAAGTGCTCTTAAATCCATATTTTATCCTGTCAAAGTCTGAAATGTGTTCATTGATGATTTGGTGACATCTAAAAAATTGTATTTAGTTGGCTTGGCTCACCCCTCTTAAAAATACTTAGCCATCTCTTGGTGGGATGTGGTGGGGGTATTAAGGTCTCAGAGTTATTTATTTTCTCACCTAATTTCAAACCTTTATAAACTTGGGGTTTTGTTGTTGATGGTGGTAGTATTTTTTGTTAAGTTGTTTAAAAGGCTGACTTGATTGGAGCCTCCTCTACTTTTTCTTGAGGGTTGCAAGTATTGTATGGTGGGGGAGGGGGGCCTTAAGGCAAACTGTCTAAAAAGTGACTATCCAATTAATTTAACTAGTAAATTAGTAAGAATTATTCTTAGTATTCACTCAGAGTTTAAGATGTGAAAAATCTGCACTTTGTTTATCACTCTAAATGTAAAGAACTTTTTGATAGTGTTATTTCACCACTCCCTCAGTTAAAGGCTATTATTTAAACTGTTTACTGGAGAAAATCCTCGCTCATGTCCATTTATTGTTTTTTTCTGTACTGTGATTTGTTTCAAGCTTAGGAAAACTAGTATATTAGAGTATGTTCTAGGAAATTAAAAGATCTGGTTAGAGTAAAAAGTTCTTTTTAAGGTTCTTAACTAATTTTTTCACAACTAAGAAAATAAATGAAGTATTCTTAGGCTGAAATTCATCTTATTTTATCATAAATTAGATTGTAGGGGCAGCCTACATTTTTGTGTATGTGTTTTTATTTCTTAAATGATTGTGTGAGCCTGGTGACATTTTATGGTTCTTGTGATCTAAACTGTTTTTCCAATTCACATCTTTTGTCGTGAAGTGATATTATACTAGAGTACTGTTTGCATTGTAAAAATGCTTTGCTGGTGCTCTGGCATTTTGTCTTTATCTCATCACCTAATTTAAAAACCCAGCACTTGATAATATAACTGACAGAAATGATTGTACCCACTGATGAAGTAATGAAAATGAAGAAAAGGAAAATATTCCTTCCTTCAATGGCGTAAGTTTATTTTTTACTTAAGTGGCATCTATGTAAGTTAGACAAACTATATATTAAAATTGGTAAACTTTGAATGTTTCTCCTGTTTTGATTCTTAGATTATGAGGAGGATCAGACAGAATAAGACTCCACACTTTTGAAATTTGATAAGTCAAAACGTTTTATTTTGACATTTTTAACATTGTGAATTATTCGATATTTGTAATCTCTGTATGTATATGAAACTCTGCCATGTTTTTCAACTTTGCCTATGTGCCACTGTATATAAGAAAGGACAGCTATTTTGATCTTCATCAGCATTGCCTTCAGCTGAAAATTTGGGAACAGTTCACAGTAAACCTCTCAGTAGTTTGCAAACTGAGGTACCTGCAGAAACCATAGCTACTCACCAAAATACACAGATTAGGTGCATGGTATCGTGGAAATTATTTGGTAAAAAAACACACACACAAATCTATGTGTACTGTATTTTAAGGAATATCTACAGGTGCAGCTTTGATTTTGAACAGAATTCCAAATAATTTACTGTTGTACCCACCAGAATCTAGAAAATGTGAATTAAAGTACATGTTTCTGCAATCTTTTCTGTCTTGTTTTTCCCCGCTATTTTAAGTGTTTCTTTTTATGGCATGAGAATTTGATTGTAACCTGTGGAGAAGGGAGAAAATGTATTTATAAGTAGTCTGAGGTTGTTTCTTATCATAATGGCAAGCATTGGCTGGCATTGTATTAAGGGCTTTTACATGCATAGTTTGGCTTTAAAAGAATACACCGTTAATCTTCACAATAGCACTAGTAGGTAGGTACAATTACTTCTCTGTTTTATAAGTAAGAAGACTGAGGATAAAAAAGGCTAAGTAACCTGTCCATAGTCACAAATTCTAGGTTGTGGAGCAAGAATTTGAGACGAGAAAGACTGATTCTAGAACCTTTGTGACATTTTGTAAGTTGGCCTATTTCCATTCAGCTACAAAGTGGGAACAATTAAAAGCATTGTTTGATTTGTATTGAATCATAAAGCTTATAAAATATGCTTATCTTATTTAATTTTTTGAATAGGTAATACATTCACATGGTTAAAAGAAACAAACAATATAAAAAGTTATTCAGTGAATGTGTTCCTGTGTCCTTGGCCCAGCTTCCTCCACTGCACACTCATCTCCCACCATGAATAGCCTGTGCTCTTGGTTTCTTAGGTTTCCATTCACACTGTTGTAGACAGGTACAAACATATACAAATGGAAAGTCTTATTTTTTCTCTCATTTTTACTCAAAAATTGACATCATATACATACGACTTCATTTTTTTCACCTAGTATTTCTTGGCAGTCTTCACATATGACTAGATAGTTTTCTCATTTTTTGAAGTAGATACTTGGTATTCTGTTATGTGAATGTGCCAGTGTTGAATTAACCCGTCCTCTATTAATGGGCAGCTGGGTTGTTTCCAGACCTTGTACATATGTCATTTCACATTTATATAAATATTGTACCTGTAGAATAAATTCCCAAAGATAAGAATTTTGGGGGCAAAGACTGTGTGCATTTATAATTTTGAAAGATATTGGCATATTGTCCTTCATAGGGGTAGTCATCAATTCACATACCATCTAAAATTTATGATAGTACTTGCTAACCTGCAACATTACCAATGTAGATGTTATTAAAATGTTGGATTCTGGCCATTCTGGTAGATGAAAATTTATATCAATGTGTACATTCTTTTATTTTCCTTAAAAAAGAGACAGGGTCCCACGTTATCACCCAGGCTGGAGTGCAGTGGTATGATCATAGTTCACCGTAGCCTCAAACTCGTGGGCTCAAGTGATCCTCCAGCCTTAACCTCCCGAATAGCCTGGCTTATAGGTGCACGCCACACACCTGACTGCTCAGTATGTAAATTTTTACTATGCCTAAGGTTGACCACCTTTTAATATGTTTAGGAGCCATTTGTATTTCCTTTTGTTTCCCATATTGTTTTGTTCCTATCCATTTTTCTACTATATCGTTGATATGTTGTTTATTTGTTAGGGATATGAACCCTTTGACAGTAATGAGTTGCAAATATTTTCTTTCCAATTTGTCATCTGTCTTTTGCTTATGATGGCTTTGTCATGAGTTTTAAAAAATTTTTATGTAGTCTGAATTACCAGTTTTTTTAGTGGTTTCTGGATTTTGAGTCATAATTAGAATGTTTTTCTCAATCCAGAGCAATAGAGTAATTCACCTAAATTCTACATCTAAATTTTGAACCTCTGAAGCATATTCTGGCATAAGATATAAGTTATGGATCTAACCTAATTTTTTCCGCAGGTGATTAACCCAGTTGTTCCAATATTATTTATTGAACTGTTTGTTTTTTCCTGACGAGTTTGAGAGGCTACATTGATCTTATCTTAGAATCCGTCATATGTATTTAGCTGTGTATCTGCTTCTGTTTCTCTGTATCTGTTTCTATTTCATTGCTCTATTTAGTCATGCACTAGTACCACATTGTTTTAATTACCCAGGCTTTAGTTTTAATCTAGTGCATTGGTCCTCCCTCATTCCTCCCCTGCCCACCTTTTTTTTTTTTAACAGTTTTTCTAACTGTTCTTATTTTTCCATATGAGCTTTAAAAAATTCTTAACATATAGAGCATACTAAAACTGTCCAACTCAAGTTCTCTCCCAAGGGTTGCACTTTTAACCACTTATTTTGTCACTGTTCTTTTGATACTTTACCTGATAAAGATACACTTTTTACTACTTTTAAATTATTACAGTGTTCTATTTGGCAGTGCCCAAACAGGTGATGGCAGATAGAGGCAGGATGCAATGCCTGTGTGGAAAGAATGTCATCTCAGTGCTTCTATTTTAAGATAGTCTCTAGGAATGATTTAAGGACTGTTCTCATGTAAAATCCCTATTTCTTTTTTTATTCCATTACGAATTATTTGCCCAAAAGTTGGATATCTGTCAAAGATTCATAAGACAAGAGGGAGAGACCCTTAAATAAGTACTAAACTTGTAAAATCAATATGTGGATAAAAGTGCAAGTACAAGAAGTTACTTTGGAAAAAAAAAAAAAAGCAGACATCTACCAAAAAACAGGATTTGACTATTCATTCACTGTTATAGGAGCTGGGACTATAGCAGTGAACAAAACAGACAAACATTCCTGCCATCATATAACTTAAGACATTATAACCTACCTAGATTGTAGTGAGAATGCACCAAAAGAAAAAATACATCAACCAAAGGGAAATGGCCAACTAGACACCCATCTAGTGCAGAAGGTGTCCTCAACATGAATGAATCTTAGTGTTGTCTTGACAATGCCATCAGATTGTCATAGATTGATGCTATTAATCAATTAAAGTCATTCCCCTAACACTGGTCAGAGCGGAGTTAACATTCCAAGCAACATTCTGGTATCATTTAACTTCTGCTATGGCTTTCCTTCATAGAATATACCTCCAAATGGGTGTGTGTTCTGTTCCCTTTAATGAGCTTAAACCTGCAAACCTGGAGCCCAGACTCTTGGCTAGTGAATTCACCAAGGAGATAGCACTCAAAGGATACTAAGTTACACATATTTAATGGCCCTGGTAAAGCACTATTTGTTTAGGATAAATGCATGCTAATCCATTAATGCAGTTAATCCGTTCAAGGAGCACTGTAACTTGGGCCTGCCAAGAGACTGGAGGGACTGTTGTAGGTTAGCGCGATTCATGGGGAAAAGGTCATAGTAACAGGAATCAATAGAAAAAGGGGGCAATTTTGGGAATCTTATAGGCATCTGATCTCCACTTAAGTTCAGGGGCAGAAAATCTGTTCTGGACATAGTCTAATATTTTGAGTGGTAGGACATCCAAGGTCCAAAAGGGCAGACCAGGTTTGGAGCTAGAGAATTAGTATTAGCAAGATGTTAATCAGTTTGAGAAAACAGAAGACAGGGTCCAGCCATAGCTCAAGGACTAGAGGTAGAGAATCCAGACTTGGAGGAACCAGGTAGATGTCATTAGGAGTTGCTGAGTCACTGGATTTAGATCTTACAACCCTGAACCCATAATTAATGACCTGGGCAGCCAATCTCAGAACTCCACACGGAAGGCATGTAGTATCAGTGCCCTGGCCCATAGGAACCGGGCAACAGGTACAGGGACTCTGACACAGATCTAGGTTATGGGCACAGGGACATCCTCAGAAGACTTCAATGTATTTTGACCCTTGGTGCAAGAGTTCTTATGTATCCTTGCTAAGGGCCTAGAGTAACGTTAATAAGTGGGTGTTCCTGAGTATAGACTAGGATCCACAGAAACGTGACGAGTGCCTAGTCCAGCGTCTCTCATATAATAGGTACTGAATAGACATTGAATCCCACTCTCTTATCCTCACTGTTCCTTGTTAAATGTTTCCTCACTTTAATCCGTTTATTAATTGAATCTTTTTGATGAGACAAATTCCCCAATTTTAGCCTGATCCTTTTCAGCAGCTCCTCCATCTGGACCCATGTCTTAAGTAGCATGATAGTATACAGTTAGAAATGTCCTTTAATACAATTCTCATATAAGATGAAAACTGGGAATGCATATTAGATGTGTCTCTGATCAGATCTATGCTAGTCTCTTCCTCATGCAACAATCTAAAGTGAAAGAATGGTATTTTTTAGATAAAGGTTGTCTAGTTGGAAATCTCGATAAAAGTTTCAAATATTTAGACCCATTTAGTTCTAATATAAGTTTACCTTTACTGTTAAAAGATAAAAGCAAGTAATATCCACTATGTAAATATGAGAACCTTTTTCTCACAGTGCTTCTCAAGTTCTAGGGTTTACTAATATGTATTCCTTTCTTCTTAATAAGGTTTAAGTGTTCAACTAGGTGTTGGCCCAGCACTAAGGTCAACAAAGAGCAGCTGACTTGGATTTTGGTGAAAGAGGAAATTTGAGGAGGCATTAGTGAGTGTGCCTTATCTAAGTAGCTAAATTTAACCAGCAAAGCTTTTAATTTGCCTGATACATTCAAGAGAGAATTGGTATAAATATGATTGATGTGTATATTGTAATAGTCAAACCTTCTTACAGTCACAACTCTGTAACATACCCTAGATGTTTTAATCAGCAGCTCAACTGAGTTCATTGTAAAAAGGGTAAAGAACCAATGAAAAATATCTATACAATATTCTTAGACAATTAGCTGCAGAGGTAGACACCTATTCCAATAGTCAGAGAAACTATTTCCAACAGTTACCCAGAAACGTTCACATGAAACTTTTCAGTGTTCCATCAGACTTAGCTAAATGATGGCACAAAATTTTCAGTGATTCCCTCTTCCCCATATACTTCAACTTTCTAATCATCAGGGCTTTAATTTCATCGTGTTGCTTTAAAACAAGAGGACATTTGGGTATTTTGCAACCAGTAATCACCATTCCTTTTCCTCTTAGCATTTAATATTCCACATAAGTAGTTTTTTTGTTTTGTTTTGTTTTGTTTTGAGACCGAGTCTTGCTCTGTTGCCCAGGCTGGAGTGCAGTGGCGCAATGTCCGCTCACTGCAAGCTCCGCCTCCTGGGTTCACACCATTCTTCTGCCTCAGCCTTCCAAGTAGCTGGGACTACAGGCACCCGCCACCACGCCCGGCTAATTTTTTGTATTTTTAGTATAGACGGGCTTTCACCGTGTTAGCCAGGATGGTCTAGATCTCCTGACCTTGTGATCCTCCCGCCTCGGCCTCCCAAAGTGCTGGGATACAGGCGTGAGCCACCGCGCCCAGCCAGAAGTAGTTTTGTTAGTGTACCTAGTAGAACAAGTAAATTAGAAAGCCAAAGGGAATTTTAATTTTCCTTACTAAGAAGGAAGGAGAGTTTGAGTAATCAATCATAGTTTTTTTGTATTCCGTGTTTACAACACTTCTAGAAATTTTAGCATTACATTTTTAAAAGGGGAATGAGAAAAATAGGCACTTAGAACATTTTTATACTATCTAACAAAAATAATAGTTCAAATAAATCCCAGTAGCTTCATCATAAAAGTAGGCTGACTTCTCTCACTTAATGCTGGGTATTCCAATTTTTCTGCCAGTAACAACAGAACTGTGTTTACATATTACAGGATGAGTATGATATTAGTGATAGTCTTATCACTATTTTTAAAAATATATCTTCCCTTAGCTGACCTAATACTGAAGGACTTCAGGACTTTCTGAAGATGTAACTTAAAGGAGTTTAAAACATGCTGAGTCTGCCTTTAAATTAACTATTAGTAATACAGTGTGACCACAATAATCTGTTAAAGCTATTTAGAATAATAGCTTATAATGTGTTAAGGCAACTTGAATAACAGTGTAGGGTTCACTTCAGTATAGACTTTTCCCTGATAACTACTTTAAATGCTATGTTACCCCAATTTTTTCATGTACTAGAAGACAAGAATGTTGTTATGTAGGATTATGCAGAGTGAAGGTGTTCTATACACATGAAAAGCCCAATGATGATCAATTTGAAACTTGAGATCCCAATTTTAAATACTACCAAAACAATAGTAGACTTCATCTGTGAAATCAATGCCCAGAGATCAGTTATTCCTGAAGATCAAAATGAGAGGAGTCATTTGAAATGGGTTGCATCATGTAGTAGGACTTGTTAATATAAGTTCCTTTTCATTGAACCTTCCCTCTGTCCCCAGATGAGCATTCCTAGGCAGAGAAGAAACGTGCCTTGTTTCTGGTAACAGTACTTCCTCTAGAACCTTATCTCTGTTTTATAGAAAAGCAGAGCATTTAGCCTCCCAATAGGCAGTTTTATGGCTCCAGGATATATATAGTGGAGTTTTTAGAATGGCACTTCCGGTCTGGGAGGCAGTACTTCATAACCTGTTTTTTACTTAAATGAAAGATGACTTACAAGGAATTGTCTGGAACATGGCTGACAGGCATCATGCTACAGCATATTGCAGTGCTATTGCCATTTTTAAATGTGCAGCTTCCAATAGGCTCTTTACAGAGCTATTTAGAAGGGCATTATTTTAAATATAGTTGGAGATTACGGAAAAAACTATTAGGATTCCACATAGTCTTAGCTCAACGGCTTGGGGTATTTGTTATTAATGCCCTTTATGGACCCTCTTATTTTCTCCTTGAATGTAATGAACATTCAGTGAGTTCGGAAAGGGGTGTATTCTTGATGTGGCCCTGAGGTAATGCATATTAGATTTCATTAGGCTGAAAAAAAACTATGCAGAATCTGTGAACATAGCAGAGGAGGTTTAATAGGATAAGTCAGCTACATTTTTAATGTTATCAACTTATCATTAATGTGTATACATTAGCGCCCTACTGAAAGGAAGTACCAGTCTTTGGGCAAAACTTAAGAGATTCCTTGAGGAACCTACGGCCTGAACCTTAAAAAAAAAATCTCTAAAGACCTTACAGTCTGCTGCTTTACCATTTCATTTTAATTATCAACACTGGAGTTGCAATTGGCTAAGTTGTCAACTGTATTTTAGGAGTCTACCAATGTGGCACTCAGAATCGGAGTGACCATCAGTGACCTAAAGAGGTAAGATTTGTGGAATACTTTAGTCCAAAAGCTTTAAAAAACTATTAGACCATATATTCTATATTTTTAAAGTGAATTATGCATAAAAGTCTGTGCAAACTACAACATGATTGCAGTAACATTCTCAAGAAAAAAAAACCCTAGTATACTTTAGCATTATTATTTAAGTTATACAAAATACATCTTTATAAAAGTACAGATTTTCTTTAAAAAGTTTAAATTATACCCACTGAAATAGCAAGGCTCCCTCTTTAGTACTAAAATAAGGGTTTATCAGTCTACATTATTGCTTATTCCTATGGGGCCATTGGAAACCTGTAACAAATAAAAATCAAGTTCTATTTCTTAAGGAAAAGTGCCCTAAAAATTCAGCTGTCACTATGCTTTTCTGAAGCTTTTCATCTGAGGAATCGTCCATAAAACTGTTAACTGATGCTACCCAAGGCTTGGTTTGTCAGGATCCAAAGTTGAGTCTTGCAAAGTTCCTGCTTGTGCCAGGAAGCTGTTAGTTTGTTGTCCCCAATCATAGTAATCTGGAGCAAAACTTAAAAAGAAAAAAATATTTCAGTGACTTGAAACATTATATAGTATGTATGACATAGTCTAGTTTAGGTAGACAGAGCTGAGATTTTTGTGTAAACTATAGATAACTCTAAAGTTCTTTTAAATGGCTCTTAAAGTCCATTTTCCCACAAAACCATGCTACACACAGGGCTGAAATGCCCACCGACAACTCTACTGAACTCTTTAGAGCACAGAGTATACAGCATGACTAGAGAACCCAGCCAGTCACTATGCATAGGAAATGTTTTCAGCAACAAACTGCATCTGAATCCTAACATGGAGTACAGCTCACAACCTGTGGTGGTGTCTTTGGACAAGTAACTTCTATGCCTCAATTTCCTCATCTTAGAATGGGAGTAATATTAGTAACTACGTCGTGGGCCTATTGTGGGGACTGAGTTAACATCTGTAAAGTGCTTAGAACAGTGTCTAATATATAGTTAATTCTCAATACACGTAAGTCGTTTTCATTATAATTATGTTCCTCTATGTAGTAGAAAGGGGGTCTTGTCTTCACCATATCGGTAGTGAGGACTCCCTCAGCTCTAAGTCATTTCTGGCAGGTGAGAGGGTGGGACAGCTCTAGCAGAATATGGGTTTAAAGGGGAAAGCAACTAATAGGAGATGCAGTGGGGTAACTGGAAAAGAACAGTTTTAAGGAAGAGGTGGAGCTCAGAATCTGAGTGACCCAAAGGACAGCTTTTGACTTCAAGAAGTCCTTCTTGTTTGTTGGCTTGCTTCCAGCTTACGTTCTTTACATCTGCTGGCTCAGCGCATTGGGCAGCTTTCTTCTTTTTTCTCAGCGACAATCTTTTATCCTATCTGACCAGGATTTCTCTGCTCCCCGATCACTGAGAAAGCATGTATTCTCCCAGCTTTTCTTCAGTACTTCTGTCCCTAAAACAAGGACTCTTTTCAGAGCTCTCTTAAAAAGTTTTCTAAAGACTTTCACTGTTACTAACAAGGAGTAAAAAGGCAAGCATATATTTTTTATCATTTCATCCCAGAGGGAAAAAAGTTGTAAAGTTGTTAATGCTAAGTCTTTAATCTTACAAAAGATTACATAAGATAACCTTTCACTTTCTAAGAAGCTCCCCTTTCCCAGGAACAGGATGGGGGTCCTGAGAGGACAAGCAGAGAGAAGACAGGCTTGGCAGGCACTATGTCAGCCCTTTTGGCTCCTCTCACCCCTGCTGGCCTCACCGTCTCAGAGCCACAGGCTGAAAGGGGAAACATGATAGTCATCGGGTAGTGGAGTATGGCTGAGCACAGCAGGCTGAGGAAAAGGGAAGGGAATCCCAATAGCAACTACCCTTCCTGTTTGCAGACCATGCCCATGCTGAGGTAAGCAAAACTTGGAATCCTGGGGTGGATCTCTGCTATGGTTGCAATTTCAGGTGCTTCCCTCTTTTTATTTGCCTTCCCAATTCACTGAAGATTAGGCGATGGCAGCGGACTGGTAGTTCATGTATTGTCTTACACCCTCTATGTATGCTGCTTTGAACTCTCAGTATTTAACTGCCCTTTCCACATTTTCTGGGCCAGATCCGCATGTAGATTCAAGGAAGGAGACTCCTGCTATTAAAACTCACGTGAAAGTATAACATAAGCGTAGGTGAGACTAAGAGACAGGGTACTTATATACAAACTGTTTACATAGTATGGTGATTCAGAAAACAAATTTGAACAAAACTGCCTGAGTTAGAATTGTAGCCTGATCACTTGCTAGCTGTGTGACCTTGGACAAGTTACCTACCCTCTAGATACCTCAGTTTCATCTGTATTATGAGGCTAATAATAGTACTGACCTCTCAGGACTGTTAAGACTAAATGAGTTGATATTTGTGAATCTCTTAGAACAGTGTCTGATACAGAGTAGATGCTATAGAAGTATTTATTAAATAAGTATTCATGAAAATTGAGACCAAATAAATACCCTTCATGTAAATGAAATTTTAAATTAAGAACTGACATCATTCAAATTTGAAAACTTGGTCCTTTATAATGTATAATTTATTCTAATAAATAAATACTACTGCATTTACTCTCTAGCTTTAGAACATGTGATTAAAGATATCATGTTCCATTGAGTGATTCCATAGACAAGTGCTGTATTTCCCTCTTGGAGATTCAGAGCACACATTAGCATATTACAGGCTCGCTCGGCATTTTCTAAAAAGTTTTTTTTCTGGCCGGGTGCAGTGGCTCACGCCTGTAATCCCAGCACTTTGGGAGGCCAAGGTGGGCAGATCACTTGAGGCCAGGAGTTCAATCCAGCCTGGCCAACGTGGCAAAACCCCGTCTCTACTAAAAATAAAAAAATTTGCTGGGTGCGGTGGCGCACACCGGTAATCCCAGCTACTCAGGAGCCTGAGGCACAAGAATTACTTGAACCTGGGAGCGGGAGGTTGCAGTGAGCCAAGATTGCACCACTCTGCACTCCAGCCGGGCAACAGAGTGAGACCCTATCTCCAAGAAATAAAAAAGTTGATTATCATTTCCTTTTGCACAGCATAACTATTAAGAAAATAGTGTTTCATGGAATATTGTTTAGGAAACACTACTGTATACAATAATGCTATGGGGCTTTAAAAAAACCGGATGTCCTTTCTCATTCCTGAATGTTTCACATAAGTAAAATGATCTACTGAGAATCCAGTCTTATACCACCTAAGGCTGCACAGTTTTAACGTAGGAATTTTCTTTTAGCTTGAATCTATTTAACTGGTGTAACCCTTCCCTCCTGATGAGGCTTGTCTAACATGAAGTAGGGTCTTACCCTCCCTGAAGTCCCTGAGGGGCAATGTTCCAGGCAAGGTCATCATCACTGTCATATCTTCGAGGGTTGTCAAAGAAATAAGATCTGGGACTGAATCCATGGCTGGGGACCATTCCAGGGTTGGTCTAGAAAGACAGGTAATCATTCAGCATACTTACAGACATCATGCCTTGCACCAGACAAAAATAAGATCTCTTTCTTGTAGGAGACTAAAGATGTTCTATTCATTTGAATGTAGGCTATATCTGTTCAGCTGGAATATTCATTTCAGTTACTCTTATGTTTGAGAGGGATTCGCCTTGCCTTTTATCAGTATGGGCAAAGTCTTCTATCAGAGTCTTGCTTGCAACAGTGAGTCATCATTGTTTTAATCCCTTATTGAAAAGCTAGATGATGAGTAACTATATGCCAATAAACTGTAAAATCTAGAAGAAATGGGCAAATTCCAAGACACATACAGCCTACTAAGACTAAACCGGAAAGACTAAAACCCGAACAGACCAATAACAAGTCTTTTATTCTACCTAACTAGAATTTCTCTGCTCCCTAATCCACTGAGAAAGCAATGTTTTCTCCCAGCTTTTCTTCAGTTCTTCTGTCCCTAAAACAAGGGTTCTTTTCAGAGCTCTCTTAAGGTTTTCTAAAGACTTTCACTGTTAGTAACAAGGAGAAAAAAGGCAAGAGATCAAAGCCATAATAAAAAGTCTCCCAGTAAAGAAAAGCCTGGGACCCAATGGCTTCACTGCAGAATTCTACCAAACATTTAAAGAAGAACTAATGTCAGTCATACTCAAACTAATCCAAAAAAAATAGAGGAAGAGGGAGTACTTCTACACTCATGGAGGAGGCCAGTATTACCCTGATACTAAAACCAAAGACACATAAAACTGTAGGCCAATATCTCTGATAAATATTGATGCAAAAATCTTCAACAAAATACTAGTAAACCAAATTCAACAATACATTGGAAAGATTATTCATCATGACTAAGTGGGATTTATCCATGTGATACAAGGATGGCTCAACATAGCACAAATAAATGTGACACATCATGTTAACAGAATGAAAGATAAAAACCATATGATCATCTCAATTGATGCTAAAAAAGCACTTGATAAAATTCAGTGTTCCTTCATGATAAAAACCCTCAAACCGGGGAAAGAAGAAACATACCTCAACATAATACAAGCCATATATGACAGACCCATAGCTAGTATCATACTGAATAGGGGAAAACTACAAGCCTTTCCTCTAAGATGTGGAACACACAGTCACCACTGTTATTAAACATAGTACTGGAAGTCCTAGCTAGAGCAATCAGACAAGAGAAAGGGCATCCAAATTGGAATAGAAAAAGTCAAATTAATGACTCCACAAAAAGTATGAGAACTAATAAATTCAGTAAAGTTGCACAAAAAATCAGTAGCATTTCTATATACCAAGAGTGAACAATCTGAAAAAGAAACAAAAAGTAATCCCACTTATAATAGCCACAAATACCTAGAAATTAAACAAAGAAGTGAAAGAGCTCTATAATGAAAACTATAAAACATTTAAAGAAACTGAAGAGGACACCAAAAAATGGAAAAATATTTTCTGTTCATGGATTGGAGGAATCAATATTGTTAAAATGGCCATACTACCCAAAGCAATCTACAGATTCAATGCAATCCCCATCAAAATACCAATGATACTCTTCACAGAAATAGAAAAAACAATCCTAAAATTTATACAGAACCACAAAAGACCCAGAATAGCCAAAGCTATTTTAAGCAGAACAAAACTGGGAGAATCAACATGACCTGACTTCAAATTACACTACAGAGTTATAGTAACTAAAACAGCATGGTACTGGTATAGGAACAGACACATAGGGCCAGGCATGGTGGCTCACACCTGTAATCCCAGCACTTTGGGAGGCTGAGGCAGGCAGATCATGAGGTCAGGAGATCAAGACCATCCTGGCTAACACAGTGAAACCCCATCTCTACTAAAAATACAAAAAATTAGCCGGGCGAAATGGGGGGTGCCCATAGTCCCAGCTACTCGGGAGGCTGAGACAGGAGAATGGCGTGAACCTGGGAGGCGGAGCTTGCAGTGAGCCGAGATCACGCCATTGCACTCCAGCCTGGGCGACAGAGCAAGACTCTGTCTCAAAACAAAAAAGAAAGAAAGAAAAGAAACAGACACATAGACCAATAGAACAGAATAGAGACCCCAGAAACAAATCCACACACCTACAGTGAACTCATTTTCAACAAACTGCCAAGAACATACACTGGGGAAAAGACTTCAATAAATGGTGCTGGGAAAACTAGATATCCATATGCAGAAGAATGAAACTAGACCACTATCTCTCACCAGATACAAAAATCAAAAAAAATGGATTAAAGACTTAAACCTAAGACCTCAAACTGTGAAACTACTACAAGAAAACATTGGGGAATATCGCCAAGACATGGGTCTGGGCAAAAATTTCTTGAGAGTGTCCCTATGGGCACTGCCATCATGGCAGAGGTTTGGGGCTAAAGAGCAGAGAATTTGTTTCCTGAAGAAGTGAAAGTTCAACAGGCAGGGAATGGATTTCAGATTTGCATCTGGATCTAGATTCTGTTCATCTATTCTATTTACATATAAATACTTTGAGGGGAAGATGGTGGATAGGAGATAGGGCTTACATGCAGCTCCCACTTGGACAGACAGAACAGTGTGTGGAGAGTCACACCATGGACTTTTGCTCCAGGAACCACCACAGGAGCATACCAGGAAAACTGAAGGAATTCACAGACACTTGGAAAGAAGCGGCAGGCCACTGCAAATTCTGAGAGACAGGTGAAAAACTCTGGTGCTCTCTTGAAAGTGCCACCTCCTGGCTGGAGGCCAACCACCTCAGGACATTACAGCAACTCATGACAGATCCCCTGCTCCAAGGAAGGAGAAAACAACAGCTAATTCTACTGCCTCCAACATCCTGGCTAAACAGTGGTCCTGAGTCTGTCCATGGTGGCAACTTCATTGCTAGCATAAAGCACTTAAGAAAGCCAGCATACTAAACATACTTACAACCAAGGTCTTTCACAGAGTCTACTTCAATCCCCTGCCACCTCCACAGGAGCAGGTGCTGGTATCTATAGCTGGGAGATCTGAAGATGAATTGCATCACAGGACTCTTTGCAGACATTCCCCAGCACCAGTCCAAAGCCCGGTAGCCCTGCTGGGTGACTAGACCAAGAAGAGCAATAACAATCACTGCAGTCTGGCTCACAGGAAGCCCCATCACTAGGAGAAGGGGAAGCAACCCACATCAAGGAACCACCCAGACAAAAGAATCTGACCAGCAGCTTTGAGTTCCAGATTTTTCCAGTGAAATAGTCTACCCACATGAGAAGGAATCAGAAAAGCAGTTCTGGTAATATGACAAAACAAGGTTCTATAACAAGGCTCATGCCAGCTCTCCAGCAATGGATCCAAACCAAGAAGAAATACCTGAATTGCCAGATAAATAATTAAGAAGGTTGATTATTAAGCTACTCAAAGAGATACCAGAGAAAGGTGAAAACCAACTTAAGTACTCTTTTTTAAAATACAGATATGGATGAAAATGTCTCCAGAGAAACAGATATAATAAAAAACTGTCACAACTTCTGGAAATGAAAGACGCACTTGGAGGATAAAAAATTCACTGTAAAGTTTCAACAATAGAATCAAGTAGAAAAGAAAGGACTTCAGAACTTGAAGACAAGGCAATTACCCAATCCACAAAGACAAAAAAGAATTTACAAAATGAACAGAGCCTCCAATAAATTTGTGATTATGTCAAATGGCCAAACATAATAATTGGTGTTCCTGAAGATGAAGAGAAATCTAAAGTTTGGAAAACATATTTGAGGGAATAATCAAGGAAAACTTCCCTGGCCTCACTAGAGATCTAGACATCCAAATACAAGAAGCTCAAAGAACACCTGGGAAAATAATTGCAAAAAGATGATCAGGCACAGTCAGGTTATCTAAAGTCAAGACAAAGGAAAGAATTTTAAAAGCTGTTTAACAGCAGATTTCTCAGGAGAAACCCTATAAGCCAGAAGGGATTGGGGTCCTATCTTTAGCCTCTTCAAACAAAATAATTGTCAGCCAAGAATTCTGTATCCAGCAAAACAAAGCTTCATAAATGAAGGAAAAGATACAAAGTCTTCAGACAACCAAATGCTAAGAATTTGCCACTACCAAGCCAGCACTACAAGAAATGCTAAAAGGAGTTCTAATTCTTGAAACAAAACCTCAAAATACACCAGAATAGAACCTCCTTAAAGCATAAATCTCACCAGGCCTATAAAACAATGAAAAAAAAAAGTATTCAGGCAACAACTGGCATGATGAATAAAACAGTCTCACATCTCAATACTAATGTTGGGTGTAAATGGCCTAAATGCTCCATTTAAAAGATACAGAATGGCAGACTAGGTAAAAATCCACAAATCAAGTATCTGCTGTCTTCAAGAGACTCAACTAATGCATAAGTACTCACATAAACTTAAGGTAAAGGGGTGGAAAAAGATATTCCATGCAAATGAAAACAAAAAGTAAGCAGGAGTAGCTATTCTTTTATCAGACAAAATAGACTTTAAAGCATCAACAGTTAAGACAAAGAGAGACATTATTTATTAATAAAAGGATCAGTCCAACAGGAAAATATCACAATCCTAAATATATATGCACCTAATATGGGAGCCCCCAAATTTATAAAACAATTATTATTAGACATTAAGAAATGAGATAGCAACACCATAGTGGGGTACTTCAGTACTCCACTGACAGCACTAGACAAGCCATCAAGACAGAAAGTTAACAAAGAAACAATGGACTTAAATTATACCCTAGAACAAACGGACTTAACAGATACTTACAGAACATTCTACCCAACAACTGCAGAATATACATTCTTTTCATTGGCACATAGAACATTCTCCAAGATAGACCATATGATAGGCTATGAAATGAGTCTAAATCAATTTAAGAAAATTGAGATTATATCAAGTACTCTCTCAGACCACAGTGGAATATAAAATTGGAGATTAACTCCAAAAGGAACCCTCAAAACTATATAAATGCATGGAAATTAATGTGCTCCTGAATGATCTTTGGGTCAACAATGAAATCAAGATGGAAATTAAATTCTTAGAACTGAATGATAATAATGACACAACTTACCCAAACCTCTGAGGCACAGCAAAAGTGGGGCTGAGAGGAAAGTTGACAGCATTAAATTCCTACATCAAAAAAGTCTGGAAGAGCACAAATAGAAAATCTAAGGTCCTACCTCAAGGAATTAGAGAAACAAGAACAAACCAAACCCAAACCCAGCAGAAGAAAAGAAATAACAAAGATCAGAGCAGAACTAATGAAATTGAAACAAAAAGGCAATACAAAAGATAAATGAAACAAAAAGCTGATTCTTTGAAAAGATAAACAAAATTGATAGACCATTAGTGAGATTAACCAAGAAGACAGAAGATCCAAATAAGCTCAATTAGAAACAAAATGGGAGATATTACAACCGATACCACAGAAATACAAAAGATCATTCAAGGTTACTACGAACACCTTTACAGAAACTAGAAAATCAAAATATACAACCCTCCTAGATTAAATTAGGAAGAAATAGAAACTGAACATAACAACTAGCGAGATCGAAACAGCAATAAAAACATTTCCAACAACAAAAAAAGTCCAGGACCAGGTGGATTCACAGCTAATTTCTATCAGATATTCAAAGAAGAATTGGTACCAATCTTATTCTGAAACCGTTCCAAAAGATAGTGAAAGAGGGAATCCTCCCTAAATCATTCTATGAAACCAGTATCACCCTAATACCAAAACCAGGAAAGGACATAGCAAAACTATGTTTATCCCTGATGAACATAGATGTAAAAATCCTCAACAAAATATTAATAGCTAACTGAATCCAACAGCATATCAAAAAGATAATCCACCATGATCAAGTGGGTTTCATACCAGGGATGCAGGGATGGTTTAACATACATGAGTCAATAAATGGGCTATATCACATAAACAGAATTAAAAACAAAAATCATATGATTATCTCAATGGATGCAGAAAAAGCATTTGAAAAAATCCAGCATCTGTTTAGGACTAAAGCCCTCAGAAAAACTGGCATAGAAGGGACATACATCAAGATAATAAAAGCCATCTATGACAAACCCACAGCCAACATTATACTGAATCAGGAAAAGTTGAAAGCATTCCACCTGAGAAATGGAACAAGACAAGGAAACCCTCTTTCACCACTTCTATTCAACATAGTACTGGAAGTCCTTAGCCAGAGCAATCAGACAACAGCAAGAGGGCACCCAAACCAGTAAAGAGTAAGTCAAACTGTCACTGTTCACCAATGACATAATCGCATACCTAGAAAACCCTAAAGACTTATCCTAAAAGCTCCTAAAACTGATCACCAACAACGACCAAGCTGAGAATCAAATAAGGAACTCAGCCCCTTTTACAACAGCTGCAAAAACAAAATACTTAGGAATATACCTAACCAAGGAGGTGAAAGCTCTCTACAAGGAAAGCTACAAAACACTGCTAAAAGAAATCACAGATGACAGAAACAAATGGAAACACATCCCCCATGCTCACAGATGGGTAGAATCAATATTATGAAAGTGACCATACTGCCAAAAGCAATCTACAAATTCAATGCAATTCCCATCAAGATACCATCATCAGGCTGGATACAGTGGCTCACACCTGTAATCCCAGCACTTTGGGAGGCCAGGCAGGTAGATCACTTCAGGTCAGTAGTTCGAGACCAGCCTGGACAACATGGCAAAACCCTGTCTCTACTAAAAAATGCAAAAGTTAGCCAGGTGTGGTGGTGCATACCTGTAATCACAGCTACTTTGGAGGCTGAGGCACAAGAATTACTTGAACCTGGGAGGCACAGATTGCAGTGAGCCAATATCACACCACTGCACTCCAGCCTGGACGACAGAGCAAGACTCTGTCTCAAAAAAACAAAAAGGTCATCATTCTTCACAGAAATAGAAAAAATTCTAAAATTCGTATGGAACCAAAAAAGATCGTGCATAGCCAAAGCAAGACTAAGCAAAAAGAACAAATCTGGAGGTATCACATTACCCAGCTTCCAACTATATTACAAGGCTATAGTTACCAAAACAGCATAGTACTCGTATAAGAATAGGCAGGCAGGGCCGGATGCAGTGGCTCAAGCCTGAAATCCCAGCACTTTGGGAGGCCGAGGCGGGTGGATCACTTGAGGTCAGGAGTTCAAGACCAGCCTGGTCAACATAGTGAAACCTCGTCTCTACTAAAAATACAAAAATTAGCTGCGCATGGCGGTAGATGCCTGTAATCCCACCTACTCAGGAGGCTGAGGCAGGAGAATCACTTGAACCTGGGAGGCGGAGGTTCCAATGAGCCGGGATTGTGCCACTGTGCTCCAACCTGGGTGACAGAGTGAGGCAGGTACCCCAATGGAACAGAATAGAGAACCCAGAAATAAGGCCAAATATGTACAGACAACTGATCTTCAACAACACAAATAAAAACATAAAGTGGGGAAAGGACACCCTGTTCAACAAATGGTGCTGGGATAATTGGCAAGCCACATGTAGAACAATGAAGCTGGATCCTCATCTCTCACCGTATACAAAAATCAACTCAAGATGGATCAAAGACTTAAATCTAAGACCTGAAACCAGAAAAATTCTAGAAGATAAATCAGAAAAACTCTTCTAGACATTGTCTTAGGCAAAGAGATCATGACCAAGAATCCAAAAGCAAATAAAACAAAAACTAAGATAAATACATGGGACCTAATTAAACAAAAAGTCTTCTGTACAGCAAAGGAAATAATCAGCAGAGTAAACAGACAAGTCATAGAGTAGGAGAAAATATTCACAGACTATGCATCCAGCAATGGACTAATATCCAAAATCTTCAAGAACTCAAACATATCAGCAAGAAAAAAAAACAACTAATCCCATCCAAAAGTGGGCTAAGGACATGAATAGACAATTCTCAAAAGAAGATATCCATATGGCCAACAAACATGAAAAAATCCTCAACATCACTAATTCTCAGAGGAATGCAAACCAAAACCACAATGAGATGCCCCATACCTTACTCCTGCAAGAATGACCATAATTCAGAAATAAAAAAATAACAGATGTTGGCATGGATGTAGTAAAAAAGAACACTTTTATACTGCTGGTGGGAATCCCACTTACTGGGTATCTACCCAGAGGTAAAGGAGTCATTATATGAAAAAGACACTTGTGCAGGCATGTTTATAGCCACACAATCCACAGTTCCCAAAATACAAAAATATGGAACCAGCCTAAATGCCCATCAACCAACTAGTGGATAAAGAAAAATGGTATATATATACCATGGACTACTACTCAGCCATAAAAAGGAATGAAATAGCATCCACAACAACCTGGATGGAGTTGGAGACCATTATTCTAAGTGAAATAACTCTCAGGAATGGAAAACCAAACATTATATCTTCTCACTTATAAGCAGGAGCTGAGCTATGAAGATGCAAAGGGATAAGAGCAATATAATGGAATTGGGGACCTGGGGGAAGGGTGGAAGAGGGTGAGGGATAAAAGACTACACATTGGGTACAGTGTACAATGCTAAGGTAATGGGTGCACCAAAATCTCAGCAGTCACCACTAAACAACTTTTCCATGTGACCAAACACTACCTATTCCCCAAAAACTTTTGAAATTAAGACAAAAATTTAAAAATAATATTAATTCTTGGCCACGCACAGTGGCTCATGCCTGTAATCCCAGCACTTTGGGAGGCTGAGGCAGGTGGATGACTTGAGGTCAGGAGTTCGAGACCAGGCTGGCCAACACGGTGAAGACCCATCTATACCAAAAATACAAAAATTAGCTGGGTGTGGTAGCTCATGCCTGTAGTCCCAGCTACTCAGGAGGCTGACGCAGGAGAATCACTTGAACCCAGAAAGCAGAGATTGCAGTAAGCCAAGATCATGCTACTGTACTCCAGCCTGGGCAACAGAGCAAGACTCCATCTCAAAAATAAATAAAAATAAAAATAAATGAATTCATGAGCAATATCCTACAAGCAACCAAAGCAAAATGGAAAAATAGGATCATATCAAGTTAAAAGCTTTTGCACAGTAAAAGAAACAACAAAGTCAAGACAACCCACAGAATGGGAGAAAATATTTGCAAACTACCCATCTGACAAGGGATTAACAACCAGAATATTAGGAAAAGGTGTAGTAATCAAAATTAAAAATGGGCAAAAGATTTGAACAGACATTTCTCGAAAGGCAACATACAGATGGCAAACAGGCATATCAAAAAGTGTTCATCAATGATCATCAGAGAAATGCAAATCAAAACTACAGTGAGATATTACCTCACTGCAGTTATAATCGCTTATATCTAAAAGGCAGTAACAAACGCTGGCAAGGATGTGGAGAAAAGGGAACCCTTGAACACTGTTGGTGAGAATGTATATTAGTACAACCACTATGGAGAACAGTTTGGCAGTTCCTCAAAAATAAAAATTGAGCTACCACATGATCCAGCAATCCCACTGCTGGTATCTACCCAAAAGAAGGGAAATCAGGATATTGAAGAGATATCTGCAATCCTGTGTTTGTTGCAGCACTGTTCACAATAGCTAAGCTTTGGAAGCAACCTAAGTGTTCATCAGCAGATGAATGGATAAAGAAAATGTGGAACATATACAGAATGGGGTACCACTCAGCCATAAAAAAGAATGAAATCCAGTAATTTGGAACAACATGGATGAACTGGAGATGATTATGTTAAGTGAAATAAGCCAGACACAGACAAACATCGCATGTTCTCACTTATTTGTGGGATCTAAACTCAAACAATTGAACTCATGGACACAGAGAGGAGAAGGATGGTTGCCAGAGGCTGGGAAGGGTAGTGGCGGGGGGAGAGTATGGTTAATGGGGAAAAAAAAAAAAAGAATTTTAGTGAATGAATAAGACTTACTATTTGATAGCACTAACAACAGGGTGGACTATATAGTCAATAATAACTGTACATTTTAAAATAACTAAAAGAGTGTGATTGGATTGTTTGTAAAACAAAGGATAAATGCTTGGGATGGAGACACCATTCTCCATGATGTGAAATAATCATCATGCCTGTATCAAAACATCTCATGTACCCCATAAATATACACACCTATTATCTATGTACCTACAAAAAAATTTTTAAAAGCTAGATGATGCCCAAATTAGCCAGAATAAAGTAGATAGTTCAATTTGGATATAAATCATGAGAGCAGTCATAACAATGGTGAAATCATTTGGGGAGGATTTCTCATCCCATTTCCATCTCCTGCCTCTATAATCATTTCATCCTGTTTCTGCCCCCAAACTGAGTTTACCTCTCAAAAAATTTCCAATGACTGGTCTCAGGTACACCCTAGAGGTCATTGCCAGTTTTCAGTATCACAGCTGCCCTGGGATGACTGTTGGGGTTTGAAAAGCCTTTTCTGCCAGCAGCTTCTAAAAAGTAAAGTTGTCTTTGTCAGGAAAGCCTAAACAAGATCAGAACTAGATTATATGGTACACCAAATCAGGCATATGTTTTGACATCATTGTTCTTAACATCAGTGACCTATTTAAAAGTTAATAGAACATGAACAGAGGTGGCCACATGACGGCTATCTAAATGTGAATTCCTGCTTTGCTAAGACTAATTGCAGCCAAACATAAGGAGCAAAGTGGAACTAACACAAGGTGGATTGCCTTAAAATTTACTCTTTTTAATAGTTTAAGAATACCTATGAGCCACGCGCAAAAGAATGAAGTTGGATCCTTATCTCACACCATATACAAAAAATAACTCAAAATGTATTAAAGACCAAATGTAAGAACAAAAACTACAAAACTCTTAGAAAAAAATATAGGGGCAAGTTTTCAGGGGCAAATACAGATGCTTCTCAAAATTATGATGAGGTTACATTCTGATAAACTCATTGTAAGTTGAAAACAAATAAAAAATACACACCATAGAGTATCAGTTGTTGACCCCTATGATCGCATGGCTGACTGAGAGCTGTGCCTCACTGCTCTATACATCTTGAGAGATTATCATACCCCATATTGTTAGCCTAGGAAAAGATTAAAAAATTCAAAATTTCAATTATAGTTTCTACTGAATGTGTCCTGCTTTCACACCATCTGTAAAGTTGAAAAATTGTAAGTTGAACTGTTGTAAATCAGGGACCATCAGTATACGATGTGGCAAAGGGTTCTTGGGTATGACACCAGAACACGAGCAACAAAAGATAAATACAGTGGACAAAAGTAAAAGCTTTTGTGCTTCAAAGGATACCAATCAAGAAAGTGAAAAGACAGCTACAGAATGAGAGAAAATATGTGCAAATCATATACCTGACAAGGGACTTAAGAGTATATTTAAAACATATAAAGAACTCTTACAATTCAATAATAAAAAGACAACCCAGTTTAAAAATGGACAAAGGATGTGAACAGACATTTCTCCAAAGAGGATATACAAATGACCACTAAGCACACAAAAAGATCCTCGACAAACTTAGTCATCAGAGAAATATACATCAGAAGCCAAAAGGAGATATCATTTAATACACATTATGATATCTAGAATCAAAAAGTCAGATAACAAGTGCTAGGAGCGTGGAGGAATCAGAACCTTCATACACTGCTGGTGAGAATGTAAAATGGTGCTGTCTCTGTGGAAAATAGTCTGGCAGTTTTTCAGAAAGTGACACTCAGAAATACCATATGACCCAGCAATTCCACTCCTAAGAATATACCCGAGAGAAATGAAAACATATGTTCACACAGAAACTTATACACAAATGTTTATAACAGCCTTATTCATCATAGCCAAATGGTGGAAATGACCCAAATGTCCACTCATATCCACAAATGGTTTCCTTAAATGTGTCCTTTTTATCATTTCAAACTTCTTGATGTGGGTCAAGAAGTTTGAAATTATAGTCCAGGCACAGTGGCTCACACCTGTAATCCCAGCACTTTGGGAGGCCAAGGCAGGTGGATCGCCTGAGTTCAGGAGTTCAAGACCAGCCTGGCCAACATAATGAAACCCCATCTCTACTAAAAATACAAAAATTAGCCAGGCGTGGTAGCAGGCACCTGTAATCCCAGCTATTTGGGAGTCTGAGGCAGGGGAATCGCTTGAACCCAGGAGGCAGAGGTTGCAGTGAGCTGAGATCACCCCACTCCACTCCAGCCTGGGTGACAGAGCCAGACTCTGTATCCAAATAAACAAACAAACAAAAAAAGCTTGAAATGAAATGATAAAAAGGAAACATTTAAGAAAAACTTAAAATTCCTTAAAACCAGTGATGTCATACAGCGATAAAAACATATCACCTATTAGATGGCCGAATAGGAACAGCTCCAGTCTGCAGCTCCCAGCGAGATCGACACAGAAGGTGGGTGATTTCTGCATTTCCAACTGAGGTACCTGGTTCTTCTCACTGGGACTGCTTGGACGGTGGGTGCAGCTCACGGAGGGTGAGCCGAAGCAGGGTGGGGTGTCGCCTCGATCGAGAAGTGCAAGGAGTCAGGGAATTTTCTCCCCTACCCAAGGGAAGCCATGAGGGACTGAACCTGAGGAACTGTGCACTCCGGCCCAGATACTGCACTTTTCCGACAGTCTTCACAACCCGCAGACCAGGAGATTCCCTCTGGTGCCTACCTCTCCAGGGCCCTAGGTTTCAAGCACAAAACTGGGCGGCCATTTGGGCAGACACTGAACCAGCTGCAGGAGGTTTTTTGTTTTTTTTTTTTTCCCCATACCCCAGTGGCATCTGGAACGCCAGTGAGACAGAACCATTCACTCCCCTGGAAAGGGGGCTGAAGCCAGGGAGCCAAGTAGTCTGGCTCGGTAGGTCCCACCCCAACGGAGCCCAGCAAACTAAGATCCACTGGTTTGAAATCCTCGCTGCCAGCACAGAAGCAGTCTGAGGTCGACCTGGGACACTCAAGCTTGGTGTGGGGAGGGACATCCGCCATTGCTGAGGCTTGAGTAGGTGGTTTTACCCTCACAGTGTAAACAAAGCCGCTGGGAAGTTCAAACTGGGCAGAGCCCATGGCAGCTCAGCAAGGCCACTGTGGCCAGACTGCCAGATTTCTCCTCTCTGGGCAGGGCATCTCTGAAAAAAAGGCAGCAGCCCCAGTCAGGGACTTATAGATAAAACCCCCATCTCCCTGGGACAGAGCACTTGGGGGAAGGGGCAGCTGTGGGCACAGCTTCAGCAGACTTAAATGTGCCTGCCTGATGGCTCTGAAGAGAGAAGGAGATCTCTCAGCACAGCGTTCAGGCTCTGCTAAGGGTCAGACTGCCGCCTTCAGTGGGTCGATGACCCCCATGTATCCTGACTGGGAGATACCTCCCAGTAGGGGCTGACAGACACCTCATACAGGAGAGCTCTGGCTGGCATCTGGCAGGTGCCCCTCTGGGACAAAGCTTCCAGAGGAAAGAACAGGCAGCAATCTTTGCTGTTCTGCAGCCTCCGCTGGTGATACCCAGGCAAACAGGGTCTGGAGTGGACCTCCTGCAAACTCCAGCAGACCTGCAGCAGAGGGGTCCGACTGTTAGAAGGAAAACTAACAAACAGAAAGGAAGAGCATGTCCACTCAGAGACCCCATCCGAAGGTCACCAACATCAAAGACCAAAGGTAGATAAATCCACAAAGATAGGGAGAAACCAGCACAAAAAGGCTGAAAATTCCAAAAACCAGAATGCCACTTCTCCTCCAAAGGATCACAACTCCTCGCCAGCAAGGGAACAAAACTGGACAGAGAATGAGTTTGATGAACTGACAGAAGTACGCTTCAGAAGGTGGGTAATAATAAACTCCTCCGAGCTAAAGAAGCATGTTCTAACCCAATGCAAGGAAGCTAAGAACCTTGAAAAAAGGTTAGATGAATTGCTACCTAGAATAACCACTTTAGAGGAGAATATAAATGACCTGATGGAGCTGAAAAACATAGCACAAGAACTTCGTGAAGCATACACAAGTATCAAGAGCCAAATCGATCAAGTGGAAGAAAGGATATGAGATTGAAGATCAACTTAATGATACAAAGCAAGAAGACAAGATTAGAGAAAAAAGAATAAAAAGGAATGAACAAAGCCTCCAAGAAACATGGAACTATGTGAAAAGACCAAATCTACATTTGATTGGTGTACCTGAAAGTGATGGGGAGAATGGAACCAAGTTGGAAAACACTCTTCAGGATATTATCCAGGAGAACTTCTCCAACCTAGCAAGACAGGCCAACATTCAAATTCAGGAAATACAGAGAACACCACAAAGATACTCCTTAAGAAGGGCAAGACACATAATCGTCAGACACATAATCGTCAGATTCACCTAGGTTGAAATGAAGGAAAAAATGTTAAGGGCAGCTAGACAGAAAGGTCGGGTTACCCACAAAGGGAAGCCCATCAGACAAAGAGCAGCTGTCTCTGCAGAAACCCTACAAGCCAAAAGAGAGTGGGGGCCAATATTCAACATTCTTAAAGAAAAAAATTTTCAACCCAGAATTTCATATCCAGCCAAACTAAGCTTCATAAGTAAAGGAGAAATAAAATCCATTATAGACAAGCAAATGCTGAGAGACTTTGTCACCACCAGGCCTGCCTTACAAGACCTCCTGAAGGAAGCACTAAATATGGAAAGGAACAACCAGTACCAGCCACTGCAAAAACATATCAAATTGTAAAGCCCGTCAACACTATAAAGAAGCTGCATCAACTAATGGGCAAAATAATCAGCTAACATCATAATGTCAGGATCAAATTCACACATAACAATATTAACCTTAAATGTAAATGGGCTAAATGCCCCCATTAAAAGACACAGACTGGCAAATTGGATAAAGAGTCAAGACCCATCACTATGCTGTATTCAGGAGACCCATCTCACGTGAAAAGACATACATAGGCTCAAAATAAAGGGACGGAGGAATATTTACCAAGCAAATGGAAAGCAAAAAAAAAAAAAAAAAAAGAAGAAGCAGGAGTTGCAGTCCTAATCTCTGATAAAACAGACTTTAAACCAACAAAGATCAAAAGAGACAAAAAAAGGCCATTACATAATGGTAAAGGGATCAATGCAACAAGAACAGCTAACTATCCTAAATATATATGCACCCAATACAGGAGCACCCAGATTCATAAAGCAAGTTCTTACAGACCTACAAAGACACTTAGACCCCCACACAACAATAATGGGAGACTTTAACAACCCACTGTCAATATTAGACAGATAAATGAGACATGTAATTAACATGGATATTCAGGGACTTGAACTCAGCTCTAGACCAAGCGGACCTAGCAGACATCTACAGAACTCTCCACCCCAAATTAACAGAGTATACATTCTTCTCAGCACGTCATCTCATTTATTCTAAAATTGACCACATAATTGGAAGTAAAACACTGCTCAGCAAATGCAAAAGAACAGAAATCATAACAGTCTCTCAGACCACAGTGCAATCAAATTAGAACTCAGGATTAAGAAACTCACTCAAAACTGCACAACCAATGGAAACTGAATAACCTGCTCCTGAATGACTACTGGGTAAGTAAGAAAATTAAGGCAGAAATAAAGATCTTCTTTGAAACCAATGAGAAAAAGACATAATGTACCAGAATCTCTGGGACACATTTAAAGCAGTGTGTAGAGGGAAATTTACAGCACAAAATGCCCACAAGAGAAAGCAGGAAAGATCTAAAATTGACACCCTAACATCACAATTAAAAGAACTTGGGAAGCAAGAGCAAACAAATTCAAAAGCTAGCAGAAGAAATAACTAAGATCAGAGCAGAGCTGAAGGAGATAGAGACACGAAAAACCCTTCAAAAAAAATCAATGAATCCAGGAGCTGGTTTTTTTGAAAAGATCAACAAAATGGATAAACCGCTAGCCAGACTAATAAAGAAGAAAAGAGAGAAGAATCAAATAGACGCAATAAAAAATGATAAAGGGGATATCACCACCAATCCCACAGAAATACAAACTACCATCAAAGAATACTATAAACACATCTATGCAAATAAACTAGAAGATCTAGAGGAAATGGATAAATTCCTGGACACATACACCCTCCCAAGTCTAAACCAGGAGAAGTAGAATCCCTGAATAGACCAATAACAAGTTCTGAAATTGAGGCAGTAATTAATAACCTACCAACCGAAAAAAGTCCAGGACCAGAAAGATTCACAGCCGAATTCTACCAGAGGTACAAAGAGGAGCTGGTACCATTCCTTCTGAAACTACTCTAAACAACAGAAAAAGAGGGAATCCTCCCTGACTCATTTTATGAGGCCAGCATCATCCTAATACCAAAACCTGGCAGAGACACAACAACAAAAAGAAAATTTCAGACCAATATCTCTGATGAACATCAATGTGAAAATCCTCAATAACGTACTGGCAAACCGAATCCAGCAGCACATTAAAAAGCTTATCCACCACGATCAAGTCAGCTTCATATCTGGGATAGAAGGCTGGTTCGACATACACAAATCAATAAACGTAATCCATCACATAAACAGAACCAATGACAAAAACTACATGATGATCTCAATAGATGCAGAAAAGACCTTCGACAAAATTCAACACCCGTTCATGGTAAAAACTCTCCATAAACTAGGTATCGATGGAATGTATCTCAAAATAATAGCTATTTATGACAAACCCACAGCCAATACCATACTGAATGGGTAAAAACAGGAAGCATTCCCTTTGAAAACCCGCACAAGGCAAGGATGCCCTCTCTCACCACTCCTATTCAACATAGTATTGGAAGTTCTGGCCAGGGCAATCAGCCAAGAGAAAGAAAGAAAGCATATTGAAATAGGAAAAGAGGAAGTCAATTGTCTCTTTTTGCAGATGACATGATCATATATTTAGAAAACCCCACTGTCTCAGCCCAAAATCTCCTTAAGCTGATAAACAACTTCAGCAAAGTCTCAGGATACAAAATCAATGTGCAAAAATCACAAGCATTCCTATACACCAATAACAGAGAGCCAAATCATGAGTGAACTCCCATTCACAACTGCTACTAAAAGAAGAAAATACCTAGGAATACAACTTACAAGGGATATGAAGGACCTCTCCAAGGAGAACTACAAACTGCTGCTCAAGGAAATAAGAGAGGACACAAACAAATGGAAAAACATTCCATGCTCATGGATAGGAAGAATCAATATTGTGAAAATGGCCATACTGCCCAAAGTAATTTACAGATTCAATGCTATCCCCATCAAGCTACCACTGACTTTCTTCACAGAATTGGAAAAAACTACTTTAAACTTCATATGGAACCAAAGAAGGGCCCACATAGCCGAGACAATCCTAAGCAAAAAGAACAAAGCTGGAGGCATCATGCTACCTGATTTCAAACTATGCTACAAGGCTACAGTAACCAAAACAGCATGGTACTGGTACCAAAACAGATATATAGACCAATGGAACAGAACAGAAGCCTCAGAAATAATACCACACATGTACAACCATCTGATCTTTGACAAACCTGACACAAACAAGCAATGGGGAAAGATTTCCTATTTAATAAATGGTGTTGGGAAAACTGGGTAGCCATATGCAGAAAACTGAAACTGGACCCCTTCCTTACACCTTATACAAAAGTTAACTCAAGATGGATTAAAGACTTAAACGTAAGACCTAAAACCATAAAAATCCTAGAAGAAAACCTAGGCAATACCATTCAGGACATAGGCATGGGCAAAGACTTCATTCTAAAACACCAAAAGCAATGGCAACAAAAGCCAAAATTGACAAATGGGATCTAATTAAATTAAAGAGCTTCTGCACAGCAAAAGAAACTATCATCAGAGTAAACAGGCAACCTACAGAATGGGAGAAAATTTTTGCAATCTATCCATCTGACAAAGGGCTAATATCCAGAATCTACAAAGAACTTAAATTTACAGGAAAAAAACAACCCCATCAAAAAGTGGGCAAAGGATATGAACAGATACTTCTCAAAAGAAGTGCAGCCAATAAACATGAAAAATATGCTCATCACTGGTCATCAGAGAAATGCAAATCAAAACTACAATGAGATACCATCTCACAGCAGTTAGAATGGCGATCATTAAAAAGTCAGGAAACAACAGATGCTGGAGAGGACATGGAGAAACAGGAACGCTTTTACACTGTTGGTGGTAGTGTAAATTAGTTCAACCATTGTGGAAGACAGTGTGGCAATTCCTCAAGGATCTAGAACTAGAAATACCATTTGACCCAGCAATGCCACTACTGGGTATATACCCAAAGGATTATAAATCATTCCACTATAAAGACACATGCACATGTACATGCACACGTATGTTTACTGCAGCACTATTCACAAGAGCAAAGACTTGGAACCAACCCAAATGTCCATCAATGATAGACTGGATAAAGAAAATGTGGCACATACATACCATGGAATACTATGCAGCCATAAAAAGGGATGAGTTCATGTCCTTTGCAGGGACATGGATGAAGCTGGAAACCATCATTCTCAGCAAGCTGACACAAGAACAGAAAACCAAACACCGCATGTTCTCACTCATAAGTGGGAATTGAACAATGAGAACACATGGACACAGGGAGGGGAACATCACACACTGGGGCCTGTAGGGGGGTGGGGAGGTAGGGGAGGGAGAGCATTAGGAGAAATACCTCATGTAGGTGATGGGTTGATGGGTGCAGCAAACCACCACAGCTCATGTATACCCATGTAACAAAACTACACATTCTGCACATGTACCCCAGAACTTAATAATATATATTATATAATATATATAATTATATATTATTTATATTATTATATATAATATATATTATATATTATTTATATTATTATATATAATATATAATATATATTATATATTATTTATATTATTATATATTATATTATATATAATATATAGTATAATAATAAAAAAAAATGATGTCCATCAATGGATGAATGGGTAAGCAAAATGTGGTCTATCCATACAATGAAATATTTATTTGGCAATAAAAAAGAATTAAGTACAAATATATGTTACAACGTAGACGAATCTTGAAAAAACATTCTGCTAAGTGAAAGAAGCCAGTCAAAAAACCCACATGCCATATGATTCCATTCATATGAAAGTCGAGACTAGGGAAATCTATAGACACAGGAGATTATAGTGGCTTATGCCTGGGGGTAGGGCAGGGACAGAAAGGAAATGGGGAATGACAGATGATAGTATGGGGTTTCCTTTTGAGATGATGAAAGTGTTCTAAAATTGGCTGTGGTGATGGTTGCACATATGTGAATATCCCCCAAACCACTCAATTATACACATGAAATGGGTGAATTATGTAAGTGAGTTACATCTCAATAAAGCTGTTTTTAAAAGACAAAAAACAGCCAGGAGTTTGAGACCAGCCTGGGCAACACGGCTCATGCAAGTAATCCCAGCTACATGCAAGACTAAGGCAAGAGAATCGCTTAAGCCCAGGAGGTCAAGGCTGAGGTGAGCTGTGATCGTGCCACTGCACTCCAGCCTGGGTGACAGAGCAAGACCCTGTCTCAAAAAAGAAAAGGATAAGGACAGAGATTCTCAAACTTTACAGTTCATTCAGATCACTTGGAGTGCTTATTAAAAATGTACATTCCCGGAACCTACCCCAGAGATTCTGGTCTGGGTCTCCAACATGACCTAAGAATCTTTACACCAAGCGCCCTGAGGGATTCGGATACAGATGGTAAAGAGCCGCACTTTGAGTATCTCGTTACCTAGACTCTGAAGTCTGGCTCTAATCATGCCAAGTTTAGAGACCTGTTTGTACCAAATGAATTATGGATACAAATGTTAGATGACATTTTTAAGAAATGCCCCACCTGCAGTGTATTCCTTTAAAGTTGAAGGGTTTGAGTTATAGATTTCCCCCCAAGAGTATTAGACTTTTTTCCCATGTAATTACAGAAGTTATAGATAGGACTATTAGGTCATCTATATTAAGAATATAATTTCTTCTCAAAACCTTATGATGCCAGAGAAAGCTACAGTGTAGCACAGGGATTAAAACCATGAACTCAGACGGGTGCGGTGGCCCACGCCTGTAATCCCAGCACTTTGGGAGGCTGAGGCGGTCGGATCACCTGAGGTCAGGAGTTCGAGACCAGCCTGGCCAACATAGTAAAACCCTGTCTCTACTAAAAATACAAAAATTACCCAGGCATGGTGGCGTGCATCTGTATTCCCAGCTACTTGGGAGGCTGAGGCAGGAGAATCGCTTAAACCCGGGAGGCGGAGGTTGCAGTGAGCTGAGATCGCGCCACTACACTCCAGCTTGGGTGACAGAGCAAGACTTCATCTCAAAAGAAAAAAAAACCAAAAAGCAAACAAACAAAAAAAACCACCATTGACTCTGGAACCAGAATGCTTGGTTTGAAGCCTGGCGGCTTCCAAAAACAAGATAAAAAAACAGGTCAGTCATCTGGGTATGAAATAAGAACTGTGAATTATTGGAGGACATTACTCATCTATGCCTTCTTCACCACCCGCTCTTTGCTCACATTGCCCCAAATCCACTCACTGTACTTTTCTATGGGTTTCATAGATCAGTAAGTCAAAAAGCTACCACTAGTTTGTGTGGCTGGAATAATTTACGGAACAAGGCTCCCAGGTGGTTTCTCACGCTACTTGGTTTTGCATTTTCTGTCCTGTCCCATAAAGACATTCATATAAAGTTGGTTGAACAGCAATGTGACCAAACTAGGGGAGCAGGTTTAGCATTCCTTACAATGATGTCTCTTATTGCCCTATCCTCCCATTCCCTAGTCGCCATCCGGCATACTATTTCCTATGAGTGTTCTCTATTTCCTATTTCTGTTTCTCTATTCTCTATTTTCCTTTGCTATGAGAGAAGCTTCTATACTTGGTTCACAGCAAGTCCAAGTCTCAAATACTAATGAGGCAATGGTGCATTAAAAGAAATAGTTAATCACTTTCCCCAGGCCTTAAGATGCAACTTATAATA